>NC_000012.12:108823764-108975279 GCF_000001405.40 Homo sapiens | reverse complement strand
ATGCACATTTTTGCTGCAGGAAATACTGTGCAAGATTACCGTAATTATTATGATATAGAAGCAGTGCTTTGCTGTGCCAGAATCTCTCCTTTTGGGGAAAATGGGTGTTTTGAGGGATATTTAACTCTTTGAGGATGTAAGAATATCACTTAGCACATAACAAAGGCAACACTTTATCCCAAGACAGTAATCTTCAAACATCTTTTTTCAAGGTTAATCTAGAAAAGAATTAAATAAAAACCATGTAGAATCCAGGACTGTCACATGTTTTTACATTGACATGAAAGTTTTAAAATTGTAGGTTGCAGATGATGCCATTGCCAGTGTAGTGAAATATAAAAATCAAAATAAAATTATCATATCACTTTTTAAAATGTGTCTAGTAAAATGGAAAAATGGAAATACTTACCTGATATCTGCCATCATTTGTTTTAAAGTTACATGAACAAGCTCTTTAGAGGAATTTGGAAATTTTGCATTGCTTTTTTCTTGGAACTGGTATTTCCATTCATTTCTCCATATAATTTTACCTTAATGTATTTTTTTTTTGAAATAGGGTCTCTCTGTGTTGCCCAGGCTGGAGTATAGTGGCGTGATTTTGTCTCACTGCAACCTTCGCCTTCTAAGTTCAAGCCATCCTCCCACCCCAGCCTCCTGAGCAGCTGGGACCAAAGACACACGCCACCATGCCCAGCTAATTTTTTTACTTTTAGTAGAGACAGAGTTTCACCACGTTGCCCAGGCTGGCCTAATGTAATATTATTTTGCTTAAAAGGATCACATTCATTACCCTATTATAATTCTCTGTGACAGAATACATACATTCTAAATTATTAGTTTTAATTCTCTGAGATGAGAAGGCTCTAAGCACTAAAATTTTTCTCCTGCACTGACTTATCATTATAATTTTTAGTAGTACACAATAGACCACAACAACAACATATAATTTTGATAAATAATTGTTAATCATAAGCAAGGTTTTATTGGAAATGTATCCCTTAATGAGTGGTGTGGAATGTTTCCCAAATATTTTATGTATTCCTGAATGATTATTGCTAAAGTGAGACAGGGTTCAGCACCAGGTCTGTTCCTATTTGTCACTTTTCCTGAATGACTATATATATGAAAAGCTTTGTTCACATAAAAAAAAGTTTTGAGGAACTGAAGGAGTTTTGTTAGAACTCAATAAACTAATGCCACTTGATTTTTAAAAACGCTCTCCAAATTGCGTGTGCCAAAGAGCACACAGCTTTCATTTCTGAAAAATTATGTTCCATGACCTAACTTGCTGACAGCTTGATTAGACTGTTTTTCAATTCTGTTGAAAGTAATAATAAAGGTATTGGAAACCAGATGACTTGCAAAAGTCATCTGTAAGTGCATCATCAGTGCCCCTTCTGAGGCACCCTGAAGGGTTTACATTGAAAAGCAATGCCTTGGTCAGACTGGCCTAGAGAGGTGTGGCTGAGAAAGAGGGAGTCAGGCAGGAAATGGAGAAGAAGACTCCTAACTCGTTCTTGAGAAAGAATCTGTAGGGAAGTTGAAAACTTGGAAATGAATTCCCTTAAAATGATCCATTCGGGCCAGGTGTAGTGGCTCATGCCTGTAATCCCAGCACTGTGGGAGGCTGATGTGGAAGGATCCCTTGAAGCAAGGAGTTAGAGACCAACCTGGACAACGAAGTGAGATCCTGTCTCTACTAAATAAATAAATAAATAAAATTAGCTAGGCATGGTGGTGCACACCTGTAGTCTCCCCTACTCAGGAGGCTGAGGTGAGAGGATCACTTGAGCCCAGGAGGCTGAGGCTGCAGTGAACCATGACCATACCACTGCACTCCAGCCTGGGTGACAGAGCAAGATCCTGTCTAAACAAACAAACAAACAAATAAATAAATTATACATACATAAACTGTCTGCTTCTCCCTTGGAACGCTTCTGTGTACCATCCCCACTCCCTGCCCTCGGACATGCCACAAGAAATGCTTTTTGGGTCAGACCAAACTGAATCTGTGCCCTCCCCTCTCTGGCCCTCAGTTGCCTTATCTGTGAAATGGGGAGAATATAAGCACCCACCAAGTAGGGCTACTGTGAGGATGCAGTAAGATGTGTGCATAAAGGCTTCAGCATGGTGTCTGGCACTTGGAGAGGGAAGAGCATGGTGATGAGGTGCCAGTCAGCCTGCTTGGGCTTAAGACTTGCCTCTACTCTCTCCTTTCAGGGAGGCGGAGCAGGTTTCTAATCTATCTGAGCCTCAGCTCCCCATTCTGTCATATGAGTAGGATCATTCAAATCTCACCAGCTGTTACTCCAAGGATTAACAATGTAACAATGACTTGGCCTCCCACACAATGAGTGGTTTCTCTTACTAGTAGTTTACAGCTCCCATGCCAGCCTCCTGTATGCCAACCTCTACCTTGCAGCCCTTGGTATTTTCTCAGCAGCAGGGCAAGTGTTTCTTTGGGATGGTGTGAAACTTGTCAAAAGCTAGTTCTGGAGCCAGAATGCCTGATACCAGCGCAGGCTGCGCCACTTAACGCCTCTGTGACGCTGGTCCTGCAATTGCCTCTCTCTCTGAGTCTCAGTTCCCTCATCTGTAAAATGGGAATAATAATAGCACCCTCCCCATGGGATTGTTGGGAAGCTTGCGGGAAGCACTTAGTGTTTGCCCCTTGGCAGGCTCTCAGTGAATGTTAGATCATTGCTGTTACCTAGAGGGTGACGTCACCACTTCCGTTTGTTGTTCCCTTTCTGTGCAATGATCCACATCCTCTGTCTAATGACAACTGTCTTTCCCCCCACAGGTGGTCTTTGTAGGCATGATGTCCAGCTCCACGCTCTGGGGAAATATCTCAGACCAGTACGGCAGGAAAACAGTAAGGCAAACTTACTCTTCTAAACGCATGTCCTCTGGGTTGTCTTGGTGATGGTCTGGACAAGTAGCAAACCCGTTCTGCATTAGCAGTTGGGAGGCCTAATAAGGATGATGTTGAAGTACAGTGAGAAGACATTGCTGTAAGGCTGCTGTGGACTCTCTTCAAAGCACAGATTCCTAGTGGGGCCCACGCATATACATTTCAGAATCTAGACAATCAATGCCTATTCATATCCCCTGGACCAGAACCATTTCCTCATTACCCCTGGCTGGGGCAGTCAAGGGATACTAGATAAAGCCATTGATTCTCTTGCCCTAAAGAGAGCCATTTCTCAAATTTTGGGTTTTTTGTTTTTCTTTTTGTTTGAGACAGGGTCTTCCTGGAGTGCAGTGGCACAGTCTCAGCTCACAGTAGCCTCAACCTCCCAGGCTCAAGCAATCCTCCCACCTTAGCCCTCCAAGCAGCTGGGACTACAAGCATGCGCCAATACACCCAGCTCATTTTTGTATTTTTTGTAGAAATGGGATTTCACCATATTGCCCAGGCTGGTCTCAAATTCCTGGCCTCAAGCGATCCTCCTGCCTTGGCCTTCCCACAGCGCTGGGATTACAGACATGAGCCACTGCACCCAGAAAGCCATTTCTCAATCCCAGCAGGACTGAGCTCCAGTGTCTGCTGTGGGAGCCTGTTCATGAAGACACCCTGAATTACCTTCCTTCCCTTCCCTGTCTCACTTCTCCACTCCCCTACTGGAATCACTGCTCAAATAAACTATCTTTACTAGGATCCTTATCTTAGAGCCAGCTTTTGGGAGAGCTCAGACATGATATGAAATGGATTTGCAAACAAGAAGGAAGAGGGAACTTACAGCTCAGGGCCTTGAAATCAGGTGGACCCAGGTTCAGTGTCAATTTTGCCACTACTGGCTGTGTGATCTTGGGCAAGCAAACTGACATTTTTTTTTTTTTTTTTTTTTGAGACGGAGTCTTGCTCTGTCGCCCAGGCTGGAGTGCAATCGCACGATCTTGGCTCACTGCAACCTCGGCCTCCTGGGTTCAAGTGATTCTCCTGCCTCAGCCACCCAAGTAGCTGGGATTACAGGCACCTGCCACCAAGCCTGGCTAATTTTTGTATTTTTAGTACAGACAGGGTTTCACCATGTTGGCCAGGCTGGTCTCAAACTCCTGACCTCAAGTGATCCACCGGCCATGGCCTCCCAAAGTGCTGAGATTACAGGCATGAGCCACTGTGCTCAGCCAAATTGACCTCTTTGATTATCAATTTCCTAATACGTATAAAGAAGAAAATAACAGAACCTGTATTGGAGGGTTAATAGAGATGAATTAGGGTTAATTGAGGTGTAAATCACTGTTTCTTTTGTTTTTTTGAGACAAGGTCTTGCTCTGTTGCCCAGGCTGGAGTGCAAAGGTGCAATCATAGCTAACTGCAGCCTTGACCTTCTGGGCTCAAGCAATCCTCCCACCTGAGCCTCCCAAGTAGCTGGGACAAGACTTGTGCCACCATGCCCAGCTAATTGTTTTTTTATTTTTTGTAGACAGACAGGGTCTCACTATGTTGCCCAGGCTGGTCTCAAACTCCTGGCCTCAAGCAGTCCTCCCACCTCAGCCTCCCAAAGTGCTGGGATTACAGATGTGAGCCACTGTGTGAATCTCTTTGTACAATGCCAGGCACATGCTAGGCACAGGACACATGTAAACTGAAATTCCGAGTGTAGCATTTCTGACAAGACCCCATGCAATGTCAATGCTTGGGACCATACTTTGAAAACGATTGGCTTAGACTAAGAATAACCTACTACTGGAGCTGGGAATGGGCTACCTCAACAAACCTAGAATTCTGTTAGGAAGGAAGAAGTGAGATCTGGATGCTGGGTAGGTAACAGGCAATCTCCACTACAACTAGCAAATCATGGGCTGAAAATAAAATAGCGCGTTGTATAGCAGGCATGATGCAAAGTATGGTTCATGCGTTAGCTCATCCAATCCCCTTAATAACCATTGAAGTAGGTGCTATTATCACTCTAACTTGATAGAAGAGGAAACTGAGGCACGGAGAGTGGGCAACTTACCCAGGACCACATGGTTTGCTCATCACAGAATCAGGTCTTGCTCATTCTAAGTCTAGAGCTCTGTCTTCACTATGATGCCTGTGGCTTGAATCAGTAGGTGCTCCAGAAGCAGGTGATGGCTCAATGAATGAATGAACGTTCCAGCAATGCCATAGAGGATGCAGACTCCAGCTGCATCCCCTCTCACTGCTATTGCGCAGGAAACTTGGGCCAGCAGACACCTGGAAGATGGTGATCAATATAACTGCCAAGAAATGGTGATCAATATAATTGCCAAGAATGTAACTCCAGAGGCAGCAGGCTGGAAACTAAATGCAGCCATGATGGGCCTCGGGGTCTTGGCCGGTGATGGGGCTGGAGATGGCAGTTGGAAAGGCCTCTCTGGGGCTCCCAAAGGAAGTAAAAGCTGGTTATTACCCCCCTGTTAACCCAAGAAGGAATTACTCTGGTCTTCAGTGGCAGCTCCTTAGATTCTGCCCCCATCTGCTCTCCCACCCACTTCCTGTTTCTGGAGCATATGAGTGATGGCATGGTGATTTTCTGTTTGGAAGAATGAACAAGAGTTTAAGGACAGGAGAGAGGAAGGAAGGAAGGAAGGAAAAAAAAGGAGGAGGGAAGTAAAGAAGAAGGGAGGGAGGGAGAAGGGACAGAGGGAGGGAAGGAAGAAAAAAAGGAAGGAACTAAAGAGGGCATGAACGCGGTGGCTCATGCCTGTAATCCCAGCACTTTGGGAGGCCGAGGTGGGAGGATGACCTGAGGTCAGAAGTTCGAGACCAGCCTGACCAACATGGTGAAACCCCATCTCTACTGAAAATACAAAATTAGCCAGGCATGGTGGCGCATGCCTGTAAGCTACTCAGGAGCCGAGATCGTGCCATTGCACTCCAGCCTGGGCAACAAGAGTGAAAATTTGTCTCAGAAAAAAAAAAAAGAAAGAAAAGGAAAGGGGGAAAGAAGAAAGGAGAAAGAGAGCGAGGTAGGAAGGGAGGGGGGAGGAAGAAAGGAAGGAGGTAGGGAGAGAGAGTGAGGAAGGGGGAGAAGGAAGAAAAAAGGAAGAAAGGAGGGAGGGAAGGAGGAGGGAAGGAAGGAGAGAAGAAAAAACACCTCTGAAAATAAAACAGAGTCATTTTTGTTTTGATGGAGCTGAGCAGCCGTTAAAAGAACTGTAAAGCTGTGGCTGTCTGAGGCTGAATCCAATGTTAATCTTTAAGCCTTTAAAATAATCAAAGGAGGCCAGGAGTGGTGGCTCATGCCTGTAATCCCAGCACTTTGGGAGGACAGATCACCTGAGCTCAGGAGTTAGAGACCAGCCTAGGCAACATGGCGAAACCCCATCTCTACAAAAACTACAAAACTTAGCCAGGCCCAGTGGCATGCACCTGTAGTGCCAGGTACTCAGGAGGCTGAGGCAGGAGAATTGCTTGAACCCAGGATGGGGAGGCTGCAGTGAGCCGAGATCATGCCACTACACTCCAGCCTGGGCAACAGAGCGAGACTCTGTCTGGAAAAAAAAATTCATTTATTTGTTCCTGAGACAAACATGCACAAACACACACACACACACACACACAAAAGACAAACATGCACACACACACACACACACACTTCAGGAATCCATAATGAGGAAATTTGCTGAACCCCAAATTCTGCTATCCAATTGCTGAATCATAAGGCAGTGAGGAATATAACAGAAAATGAGTAAAAATACCTTAACTTTGGGCTTGAATCTGACACTGCATGGCTAAAGCAAGCCACTCCCCATCTAGGGCTGAAATTTCCTTATTTATATCAGAGGAGGCTGAATTAGAAAACACAGATATTCATAGCTACCATTCATTGAATCCCCAAAATGAAAGGGCAGGTGGGTTTTGTCTCTGTGTCTGTTCTAATCATTTATTAGAGGATGCCAGAAACATGGATTTGAGGAGTCAGAAGGCTCAGTGGGATAGTGCTGTGATTGACTAGTGTTGTCTGCCACAGGCACAAGACTGAAGAGTGTGGAGGGAATTTAGTAAACTCCGTGAGGAAAGGGGCTGCATTTGTTTTGTTCACTGAGTTGGCCCCAGAGCCTGACCTCCCTGGTTGAGAGTGCACACTCAATAAATACTTCTTGAGTGACTGAGCTGTGGTGGATGAGAACCAGACCTCCTTGTTTCCACTCTCTGCTACTTTCTTATCCTCTCTAGAGCAGCAACTGCCTTATCCTCTCCAGAGCAGCAACTGCCTGATGAGTGTTCTTTGTTGACCTGGAAAGTCCACAATGCACAATGGTCATTCATGTAGGATCCCAACTTCCCTTGGAAGAGTATATTTACTCTGCCACTAGGGGCAGTAATTCACTTGGCGTTCCCATATAGACATCTTCATGTTTGTGAAGGGCCTCAGAGGAGATTTTAAAGAGATTTACAGAGGGGTTTTCAGAAATGCCATTTACTGAATCTTGAAGGTTGTAACCATATTTTGGCACCTTCCAAAATAGTAGTTCTCAGTTCAGGGCTAGGGGCACTTGGCAATGTCTAGAGACATTTTTGATTGTCACACGTTGGGGGAGGGGTGTGCTACTGGCATCCAGTGCATAGGGGCCAAGGATTCTGCTTCATAGCCCACAGTGCATGGGACAGCCCCCACCACAAAGAATGACCCAGTCCAAGATGTTGGCGGTGCTGAGGTTGAGAAACCAGGCTCTAGAAAACATGTGCAAACAATATCGCCAAGTTGCAGTGATGTGGCATCCGCTCTTCATGTTCTTTCTTCATCTCCTGGGCCTGCTCAGCCCTCATTTCTTTCTTTCTTTCTTTTTTTCCTTTTTTTTTAATTGAGACAAAGTCGCGCTTTGTCACCCAGGCTGGAGTGCAGTGGTGAGATCTTGGCTCACTGCAAGCTCTGCCTCCCAGGTTCAAGCGATTCTCCTGCTTCAGCCTCCCAAGTAGCTGGGACTACAGGCACGTGCCACCAGGCCAGGCTAATTTTTATAATTTTAGTAGAGACGGGGTTTCACCGTGTTAGCCAGGATGGTCTCGATCTCCTGACCTCGTGATCTGCCCACATCGGCCTCCCAAAGTGCTGGGATTATAGGTGTGAGCCACCATGCCTGGCCTCAGCCCTCATTTCAATATTTACCTAAGAAGCTCATTTGGACAAGTGAAATAATGCAGTGTCATTGTGAAAAGCATGGGTTTTGAGGCCAGACTGCTTGGGTTCAAATCCCAGCTCCTCTAATTAAAGACAAGCTATTCAACTTCTCTGTGTCTCAGTTTTCTCATCTGTAGGTGGGATAATAATAGTCTCTCCCATGGTGCTGTTATGAGGAGTAAATGGCCCTTGTACATAAAACTCTTGGCACAGAGAAAATGACATAAATGTCTATTATTATACCACTGCCAAGCTTGTGGTGTCCGTAAATGGCAATGCCAGCATTGAAATACAGGCACACCTGGCTCCAGGGTCCACATCCTTAACCCTGACCTTGGCCGCTGGGAGACATAACTGAATTATCCCTCAGAATTTAGTTGATTAGTTGAACATTCATTCATCCCAAATAGATGAAGCCCAGGAAGGCTGCCCATATGGTGTCCCGCCAGTTCTTCCAAACAGCTTGATAAATTCCATACCCAACATGAAACCGGCCTGACCAGAGGGAAAGAGAAAGTGTCCCCAGATTGCAGAGCTTCCTCCTCCCCAGCATGGAATTCTGGCCCAACCTCAGGAAGGACAGATCAGACTCTAATTATAAAGCTTCCCCAAAATTCCCCCAGGAACACTGTGCAAGCCAGGCAGCTGGCAAGCCTTGGCAACCACCGAGAACCTCCTTGATCTGCCCTGGCCCAGCTATAAGATTCCTGCCGGGGCGTTCACCGCATGATATTGTGGGGCATTCACATACGGGGTTAGGACTCAGTGAGCCACTTTGGTTCCTACAGAAGTTTCTACCACCTGGGAGTTTGTGGCAGCCATGGAAACGTGAAGGAAACTGTAGGTGTGTGGTCTTGAAGACATGGAGATAAACGCATCCAGGTTTATATCACAGTGCACCCCTGTTGACTGAGGTGAGCTTGGGCAAGATGCTTCACCTCTCTGAGCTTCAGTTTCCCCATCTGCAAAATAGACTCCATAATAGGCACTTTAATGGGGGGATTAAATAAGAAAATGTAGCCAGGCATGATGGCATGTGACTGTGGTCCAGGCTACTTGGGGGCTGAAGTGAGAGGATCGCTTGAGCCCAGGAATTCAAGGATGCAGTGAGCTGTGACTGAGCCACTGCACTCCAGCCTGGGTGACAGAGCAAGATGTCATCTCTAAAGAAGGAAAGGAAAGGAAGGAAGGGAGGGAGGGAAGTGGGGGGAGGGAATGGAGGGAGGGAGGAAAGAAGGAAAGAAGGAAGGAAGGAAGGGAGAGAGGGAAAAAGTGTATAATACACTTAGAATATGGTATGGAGCGGTCACTATCTAGTTCAAAAGCTATTAGGTCTATCTTATCTTTAAGAAGGAAGTGAAGGTGCCTGGCAGGCGCTCGGACTCCCTCTGATGATCCTTGGGCCTCCTCGACCTGTAAATACTGTCCTTCGGTTGAACGTGTTAGAGAATACCACAGGCCACATTTGGCCCACGAGCACCAGGCTTTCTAGGCTACAAGTTGCAAACTGGTAACCCATAGGCCAAATATGGCCCCCGATGTGTTTTATTTATCCTGCACAATGTTTTATAGGATTTTGAATCAGTTGCCTCCATTTCAAAAATGACATCTTGCATAAAAATAAAGTTATGTGTTTTTTGGAAAATCAGGTAATCTGGAGGCCTGGAACCCACATTTTGTCATGGTATCTTTTGGCTAGAGTTGAACAGAGGCTGACACGACAGGGAAAGTTCCCTGTAATTCCACCAGGCCCCCATCCTTGCTGTGTTACATGTGCATTGTGCATTTATGTTTTCTGTCAGAGGTCACAGGGAGCCATCAAAGGCTCTAGAGGAAGGGAGTGGCTCATTCAAGGTTGGAAGTTCTGGCTCCAACTTTGGCACCACTTACGGATCTTCAGCAAATTGCTCAACTACTTGGGCCCTTGCTATGCTAATTTGTAAAGTAGACATGAAAATAACAACCTTTGTTCACAGGGCTGCTGTGAGGACCCAGTGTAATGTTGTGACAGTGGTTAATGAAATGCAAATGAAAGTTCCATGAAGTCAGAGACTCTGGCTGTCATGTTCCTTACGGTAGCCCAGGGCCTAGCAAACAGCAGGTGTTCAATATATGCATATTTTATGCATGAATGGATGAATAATATATATCAGTATCTTTAATGCTGGCTACACAGCATGTGTTCAACATGTGTTTATTGAATAAATGAATGAATGGGTGAAGAAAATATGTCAGTGTCTGGTATACAGCAGGTGCTCAATACATGCTTATTGAATGAGCAAATTAATGAATGCATAATGTCTATGCATCTACCCTGGAGCCTTATATAAAGGGGATGCTCAATAAATGTAAAAAGAAGGGAGAGAGGGAAGGAGGAAAGAAGGAAGGAAGGAGCTATCAATCTATAGAGGGCAGAACAGATATTAGACGGAATGACAGTCATAGTTAATGAAAAGCCCAAAGGCCCGTGAGACATGTCTGCGGAGTCCCAAACAAGCTATTGGGTGGGGCTTGCTGGCAGTACCCCCTGCTTTTGTAATATCCATGACAGGCCTTACACAGGGTTGCTGAGCCCTCATTTTGGGGCAGCTGGAAAGCCCTGGCATCAACAGACAAATGCAGAGCCAGCTGCAACCTGTTGTGATCAAACAGGACAGATAATACGGCTCCCAGCAGACCTTGAAGGAGGGTTAACTCCCATGCACTTGTCTCGGTGCCTTCTTTTCTCCCGCTGATGCCAATTAAGTCTTCTGTTTGATTCAAGACTCCTTGGATTCCAAGGAAGAAAGTCCCTATTAAGTTAGCTTAAGCCAAAAGAAAGGGATTAAATGTCTGTATGGCCAGTACCGATGTTACAGTCATGGATTTAGGAGTGCAAAAATGTTGCTTTATTATTATCATCACTTCCTAGACTTTAGTAAATCCTGTGCCACCTATTATCTTATGTACTTAATATCTTTCTTCTTTCTTTCTTTTTTTTGATTTAATTTTTGTAGACCAAGGGTCTCGCTATGTTGCCCAGATTGGTCTCAAACTCCCAGCCTCAAGTGATCCTTTTGCCTCGAGCTCTCAAAGTGCTGGGATTACAGGCATGAGCCACCTTGCCCGGACCTGAATAACTTTCTTTATATCAAATTGCTTTTTAAAAATCGATCACTTGTAACATGGGGCTAATAAAAAAATTGTAATATATTTTTGGAAAGTGAAACTATACAGTCTTAATTGGAAGATCAATAACAATTGCCTTAAGTAGGAAGTGACTGCAAAAATAAATGCAACACAAACAAAGCAATGTTATTAAATTCTTAGTGGTTGTGGTTGTCCCAGTGCCTTCTGTGTTAAATAGAGAGGAGAGTAGCTATTTTTTAAAATGTGTTGGCTGGGTGTGGTGGCTCATGCCTGTAATCCTAGCACTTTAGGAGGCTGAGGTGGGTGGATTGTTTGAGTCCAGGAGTTCGAGACCAGCCTGGGCAACATGGCGAAACCCTGGTCAACATGGCAAAACACTTACTCTACCAAAAGTACAAAAATTAGCTGGCCATGGTGGTGCAAACCTGTAATACCAGCTACTCAGAGGCTGAGGCAGGAGAATCGCTTGAACCCAGGAGGCGGAGGTTGCAGTGAGCTGAGATCGTGCCACTGCACTCCAGCCTGGGTGACTGAGCGAGACTCTATTTCAAAAAAAAAATAAATAAATACAAATAGATAAATAGGTGTTAAAGACAGACTGGCACCTCACGGACTCTTTGACATAATCATAAAAATGAAGACTGAAATGAAAAAAATAACTTTCTTGTGAGGTGATGCAAAATTATTTAAAATATTCTCTCTGCCACATAAAGTCATTTTCTAAAAGACTCGAAATCATTTGGTAGGCTTCCAAATTTCCTCACTCATCTCCTTTAATTCAGTTTAATATCTTAAAGCAAAAAATCAGTATGTTTCATACTTGCCCCCTGAAGTGTTCCCTGGGGGACAGGAAGGTGAACTCACCCTTGGAGCTCTGGGAAGGGTATTGCAGAAAGAGGCCTGACCAGACCTCACAGAGCAGGTTGAAAATGCACGTGAAATTTGCATTTTACCCTCTCATATTTGGCATTGATTGTGATATAAAAATAGTATTTGTTTACTCTTAATTTTTTTTCCAATCTCTAAGGGTAATTAACACTCCAGGAATATGTGCCATGTTTGTCTTTTTTGTTTTGTTTTGTTTTGTTTTGAGATAGAGTCTCACTCTGTCCCTCAGGCTGGAGTGCAGTGGCAAGTTCTTGGCTCACTGCAACCTCCACCTCCCAGGTTCAAGCAATTCTCCTGCCTCAGACTCCCAAGTAGCTGGGACTACAGGCACCCGCCACTCCACCTGGCTAATTTTTGCATTTTCAGTAGAGACAGGGCTTCACCATGTTGGCCAGGCTAGTCTTGAGCTCCTGGCCTCAAGTGATCCCCGGCCTCAGCCTCCCAAAATGCTGGGATTACAGATGTGAGCCACCGTGCTCGGCCCCATGTTTGTCTTGAAGCATTGTGTCCCTCTGTGGTTCTTGACCCTATTGAACACATGCCCTCTTTACTTTAAAAATGTGGAAAATGTGCCTCTGTAATCCCAGCTACTCAGGAGACTGAGGTAGGAGGATCCCTTGAACTCAGGAGTTCAAGATCAGCGTGGGCAACATAGCAACACTCCATTTCTTTAAAAAAGTGAACACTGAATAACGCCTTCTTAACTATCCAGAAAAAATTTCCAAAGATAAAATAACCTAGTCATTCACGTACTTTAAAAAAGAAATCAGCCAGGCGTGTTGGCTCACACCTGTAATCTCAGCACTTTGGGAGGCTGAGGTGGGTGGATCACTTGATCCCAGGAGTTTGAGAATAGCCTGGGCAACATGGTGAAACCCCATGTCTATAAAATATACAAAAATTAGCCAGGCATGGTGGCACACATCTGTGCTTCCAGTTACATGGGAGACTGAGGTGGGATGATCACTTGAGCCCGGGAGGTTGAGGCTGCAGTGAGCCGAGATTGCACCACTGCACTCTAGCCCGGGCAACAGAATGAGACCCTGTCTCAAAATAAATAAATAAGAAAGAAATAAGTTACTTGTTTCATTTGCAAATTAGGAGGATGTAAGAGTATGTCATTCATTAAAATAACTTCAAAATGAGTTTGCCCGCACAGGAAACTGCCTTTATATTATGTTTTATTCTTCATAGTAAAAATATCACTCAGTACAGTTATACTTTGATATAGTTTTATCCTGGTACAATAGATGTTAGAATAATGATGCCAAAATAAACTTGTTAATGAGAAAAAGAAAGAAATCAGTTCTAAAGTGCTAACTAGGAGGGAGAAATTTAAAACGTCATTAATAAAATAAAATTTATTTTTAATATGCAAATGTTTACCTACAACTCTGTCTAGATGACAAGAGGAAGGGGTCAATATCTGCCCCTGATTGTAAATACGTTTGGACTTAACTGAATATTGTTGATGGTTTTTCTTTACATTTGACCTTTTAAAATAAGGTTTAGATCAGTGTATTCATAGATAAACCCTGAGTGAAAGCTGACACTGAAGCTTCCCATCAGTGACTCAAATGCTGCACACAGCGTTGTCATTGACAGCATGGTTTTCTGAAAAGAACAATTTTGTAAAGTTCCAGGTAAAACAAAGTAAATTTTCTTTTGACTTACCTGAAAGTTGCGTTCCTGAAAAATTAAGTGTATATTCACACTATGCCAAAAAAAAAAAAAAAAAAGTCTTGAATGTGTGAAACAGAGCAAAAAGTCTAGGTGCAGATCATCAGAAACAGAGTTTCAGCTGCATGATGGTCGGGCAGAACATTTGAGATGGTATGAGATGCAGGACAATCTATTTTGTCTCCTGTATTGTGGAATATCTGACATATCTGGCCCAGATTGGCATTCAATGCCAATCATTGGGACAACCAAGAATGCCCCATGATTTTCTCACCCAACCCCTGTGGGTTGGCACTCCCCATACAGAGGAACCCAGTACCCCCTTGGTTGTGTAGGCTCCCTTTAATGTGACCCCATTATCGGCGGCTCTCAGTGAGGTGCAAACGCTACCTGGAGGTGCTGAAAAGCCCTTGTGATTCCGTGTCTTCCTTCTCTTCAGGGGCTGAAGATCAGCGTGCTGTGGACTCTGTACTATGGCATCCTTAGTGCATTTGCGCCCGTGTATAGCTGGATCCTGGTGCTCCGGGGCCTGGTGGGCTTCGGGATCGGAGGAGTTCCCCAGTCGTAAGTAAATACCCAGTGCTGGCTATGCAGCCAGGCTGCCCATCCACGTGTCTGTTCATGGTCTGGATCAGGAGTTAGGGGCTGAGATGGGGCAGCAGGGGTGCAGAGATAGCTATACCAGGGCTTCCAGGATCAAGGAGCTATGGTGTAGCAAGAAAATAGCATCATTATCAGTATTGTTATGATCAACAACAGCAGCAAAACAACACAATGGCTGGAAGGTTGTAAAAGCGAAATGATAATGCATCTAGCATTGATTGACTGTTCCACTTGGACGCATTGCAGCAGCCCAAGAGGTGTGTGTTATTGTATTATTGCAATCTGCGTTTTACAGTTGGGGAAACTGAGCCTCAGAGAGTGAAATCATCTGTCTGAATCACATGGTGGGTAACTACAATATCCATGCTTTTAGCTACCATGAATGCTGCTTCCCACGCTCTTCCTACCTAAACGCAAGGCAGAGTATGATGCTAACCACATGTCACTCAGGCAGCAATTTGCTGTTGCTGTTGTAGTTTAAGGTACTGAGAATATTCAGAGCTGTAGGAAGAAGCCACTGTCTCCTGGGGCATCGAGGAGGACTTCCTATTTGTGATGGGCCCTGAAGCAGAGATTGGCACACTATGGCATACGGGCAGAATTCGACCTGCTGACTGGTTTTGTAAATAAAGTTTTATTGGAACACACCGCACCCTCCATTTATGTATTATCTATGGTCGTTTTCATGCCACAGCAACAGAACTGAGTAGTTTCAGCAGATATATGGCCTGCAAAGCCTGAACTATTCACTATGTGGCCCATTATAGAAAATGCGTGTTGGACTCCACCCTAAAAAATGATAATAGCCAATATTTAGTGTTAACTATGTGGCAGGTGCTGTTCTAAACGGTTTACCCAGATGATCTCCTTTAATCTCTCATTTTCCCTAGAAGGTAAATTCTATTATTAACCCCATTTTACAGATAAAGAAACTGAGGCACAGAGAGGTAAAGTAACTTGCTCTAGGCAACACAGCCAGGAAGTGGTGGAGGAGCTGGAATAGGAACTGGACCTTCTAACCCCAGTGCCTGGGCTCTATACCCATTGCATTTTACTGCCTTGCTATTAAGAAGGCAAAGGATTTGGAAAGACCCAGAAGGAGACTTGGAGAAGATCTAGGACATTTTCTAGGAAGTGAACCACATGAAAAGAGGAAGCCGTAGCTGAGGCTGAGGAAGGCTAATTGTCTGGTTGGTCAGCTTGGAGGGATGAGATCTGTAAGAGAAAGCTGGCCAGGCGCGGTGGCTCATGCCTGTAATCTCAGCACTTTGGGAGGCCAAGACGGATAGATCACTTGAGCTCAGGAGTTTGAGACCAGCCTGACCAACATGGTGAAACCCCATCTCTACTAAAAATACAAAAATTTTCCGGGCTTGGTGGCGGGCACCTGTAGTCCCAGATACTTGGGAGGCTAAGGCAGGAGAATCGCTTGAACCTGGGAGGCAGAGGTTGCAGTGAGCCAAGATCGTACTGCTGCACTCCAGCCTGAATGACAGAGTGAGACTCTGACTCAAAAAAAAAAAAAAAAAAAAGAATTAAAAGCTGAGGTTGGACAGGTAGGCCAGGGCAAGCTTGTTAAAGGCCTAAAATGCCAGGCCAAAGGGATTCTATTGGTGATGAGGAGCCACTGAGAGTTCTTGAGCAGCGGAGGTACCTAGAAGTATGGATCTGGCTATGGCAGGTAGAACAGCTTGGAGGTAAGGAATCATTAGGAAAATTTTGCAAGAGGACCAGGGCGATCCCTTGTAGTGTATTCATTTATTCCACCAATATTTCTTGAGTACCTAGAAATGCTAGGTGCCAGGACGCAGCATTGAGCAAGAGCACCATGGTCCCTGTTCTAGGATGGGATCCTGGGGAATAGACTTTGAGATGGAGATTACTGTGCAGGTGGTTACTAGGATTAACACCTGTAAGAAAGTGAGAAAATTAGGACCAGCGAAGGGGGAAGCTGAGTTGCCATACCATTGCCACAGAGGCCTCTGGTCAGCTTACAGGGTTTCAGAAGCAGAGGTGGCCCTTCAGAGGTGTTTCAGATTGGGGCGGGGGGGCTAGGCCTTTTTACCCTCACACCAACCAGGCATCGGATGTGGGCTGCCCTCAAGGATGGAGCATGATCTTAGGCAAGGCAGCTACTTTTGGCCAAGGCAACTTCTGCAAGGGACTCAGCTCCTGGCAGGCAATGCTCCTGCTCATTTTGGAGGGAATAAAAGCCTCAGTCCTGAAGGGCAGACCAAGTAGCACATCACAGCATCCTCCACAGTCCAGGGTGGACCCACTTGCTTCAAATATAGTCATGCGTCACTTAATGATGGGGATGTGTTCCAAAAATGCATCAATAGGTGATTTTGTCACCGTGCAAACATCATAAACTGTCCTCACACAAAGCTAGATGGGACAACCTCCTACACAGCTAGGCTATACGGTATAGCCTATTGCTCCAGGGCTACACACCCGTACAGCATGTAGCTGTGCTAAATACTGCAGACAATTCGAACACAATGGTATTTGCATCTCTAAACACATTTAGACATAGAAAACCTACAGTAGAAACACAGTATTAAATTAAAAAAAAAAAAAGGCCAGGCATGGTACCTTACACCTGTAATCTCAGCACTTTGGGAGGCTGAGGCAGGAGGATCCCTTGAGCCCAGGAGTCTGAGATCAGCCTGGGCAACATAGCTAGACCCCCTCGCTATTAAAGAATAATGAAAATAGGCCAACTCTGGGTGCACTGCCTATGAGTTAGCCCTGCTCTGCACGAAGCAGTACTCTTCAATAAAAGATTGCAAAATAAATAAGTTAATTAATTACCACAGTATTATAATCTTATGGGACCACCATCATATATGTGGTCTGTTGTTGACTCAAATGTGTTATGCAGCCCATAATTGTAATCAGCTCACCCCGCCTAAGAACAGTTCCTCCAGGATTCTGGATAATCTCTTTTCTGCAAAAGTCTCACGGCTGCAATGGATGCCAATGGAGCTCACAGTTGAGTTCCTTGCAGAAGTTGCCTTGGCCAAAAGGCCAAATGTCTCCCACCTCTGCTTCCCATTCTAAATTCCTCTCAGCTTCAGCGAGCACTCTCGCTGATCTAGACGGTTTACCTGGGTGGGTGACTGAGATCTCATGCCTAAGGGATTCGAGTCCCTGGTCGCCATGCCTCTTTTAGGCCATAGCTGCTGCGCTTGTCCATTTAACACCAAAATTGAGCAGGAGATTACCAAGAGATGTCTGGTATATCACCTGGGTGGCCCTATGATAGATGGGGCTTATTAAGTCTTAATGGTGGTTAGGATCAATTTCTCTGACATGGGACCCAAGGAGCCCACGGTGACTCTTTTTCTTGCCTGTTCATTTCTTGACACAAAGGAGCCCAAAGTTACTGGGTAGCAGCTGTTGCTTAAAGTCTAATGGGTCCGGGCACGGTGGCTCACGTCTGTAATCCCAGCACTTTGGGAGGCCAAGGCAGGTGGATCATGTGAGGACAGGAGTTCGAGACCATCCTGGCCGACACAGTGAAATCCCGTCTCTACTAAAATTACAAAAATTAGCTGGGTGTGGTGACACACACCTGTAATCCCAGCTACTTGGGAGGCTGAGGCAGGAGAATCCCTTGAACCCAGGAGGCGGAGTTTGCAGTGAGCTGAGAGCGCGCCACTGCTATCCAGCCTCGGCGACAGAGCAAGACTCCATCTCAAAAAAGACATTCTACTGAGACTCTTGCTGTGTCTCCTGTGGAAGCTTTCCCTCCCTGGGAGCCAGGACCTCTAGACCCACCGAGCCCAGAAGTTGCAGGATGTGAAGTACAAATCCCCTGATCTGGGTCACTGAGACTGATGACAGTGAAGCCTACTCTTACTTCAACCCCTTAATTTCCAGACCCATGAATCTTTTCTCCTGGGAATGAAGCATCATAATGGCAATAGACTTAAGTGGGTATTGTGTCCTGGAGGACAGTGCCCCATGGTCACAGGGCATCGTCTCCAAGCTGACACCTTAGTGACACCTTCAGAGTCCTGTTCCATTGCTCTCTTAGGCCAGCAGCTTCAGGATAGCACAATATATGATAGGACCAGCGGATTCCAGGCCATACATCCGCTTCTACATCTCCTTCACTCTATATGGGCTCCTTGGGTCCCATGCAATGTTATGATGGATCCTTTGTCAGTGGGTCAGACATTGTGTGAGCCCTCAGGTGATGGTGGTGACTGAGACCTTGTGGGCAGGAAAGATAAACCAATACTCAGAATAGGTGCCGATTCGGTCAAGATGAATTGCTGCTCCTTCAAAACTGGAAGAGTCCAATGTATGTACCTAAGTTGCTACCAAGTGACATGGAGTGGTTCCATCCTGGGGGCTCCATGTTGGTCTCTGTTGCGGGCAGGCTGGCTCTTTGGCAGCACAAGCAGCAAGATCAGCATTGGAGGGTGGGGATCTGTTCAGTCCTGCTAGAGCGCCCACCCCCTCAGGGGTAATAGGTCAGGGATTGATTTCTTATGCCTGCTGAGCATCATGATTGGGGAAGACTGGAAGAGACAGCCTAGAAGGGTAATGCTAATTCTTTTTTTTTTTTTTTGAGACGGAATCTCGCTCTGTCGCCCAGGCTGGAGTGCAGTGGCGCAATCTCGGCTCACTACAAGCTCCGCCTCCAGGGTTCACACCATTCTCCTGCCTCAGCCTCCCGAGTAGCTGGGACTACAGGCGCCTGACACCACGCCCAGCTAATTTTTTTTGTATTTTTAGTAGAGACGGGGTTTCACCATGTTGGCCAGGATGGTCTCGATCTCCTGACCTCGTGATCCACCCACCTCAGCCTCCCAAAGTGCTGGGATTACAGGCGTGAGCCACTGCGCCCAGCCAGCATAATGCTAATTCTAAAATAGATCATGGGCTCTGAAACCAGACGGCTTGGGTTTGAATCCTGGCTGCTCTGTCACATAATAGCTGTATGACCTCAGGCAAGTCACTGAACCTTCCTGCATCTGTTTTCTCATCTCTAAAATGGAACAACAACATCCCCACCTCATGGGGTCCCTTAAAATAGTCATTAAATGACAACATTCTGTAAAATGCCCAGGACAGTGCCTGGCAGAGCACTCAAGATTTATTAACAAGCATTTGATCTGCTGAAGGCTTTGGCAAGAAGCTCAAGCGTCATTGTGATGTATGATGGATGACGGATGAATGACTCAAGGTATCACTGTAGATAGAACAGGGACAGGGGAGATATGACCACATGGATTTGACACATGAGCAAACTCCCAGCCTCCTCCTGCCACTTGGGAGGCTGGAAGGATGGTGAGTGGCTCTCAGCTCTCCTCAGTCCTTCCCTCCTTGATTCATGATTAATTCCTCCAGGGCTCTGTAGAGTAGGCATTTGACATACACTTCTGGATCTGGGATGAGCTTACAAACCACTGGAGCTTGAAGGAAAGGCTATTAATGGAGCCGCAGCCATAAATCTGGGCTGGCAGGGACTTGTGGACAATGTGCTCCACTTCTGGCCCAGCTCCAGGAATTCCTGCAGACACAACTACTGCCCTATTCATGAATATGATGAGTTCATTGAGGACGATACCGTTTTCCCCTCGTGGCTGGAAGGAATGTACTCACAGAAGAGCAAATCAAATTCCCTTACCAGGGATGCTCAGAGAGATGCCTGTAGAAATAGACTTCAAACAGTCACTGGATTTTCTTCTCATATAAGGAAAGATAAAGGATTTAAATATTCAGAATGTCCACAGAAATTCTTGTTCAAGATGGTAGAATGAGAAGTGACATTTTCTATTTCTTCTTCTTCCACATTTCCTGGAAATGACATAGAAGTAGTAAGAAATAGAATAAATCTTTTCTTTTTGTGAGAGACAGGGTCTCGCTCTGTTACCCAGGCTGGAGTACAGTGGCAAAATCATGGCTCACTGCAGCCTCGAACTCCCAGGCTCAAGTGATCCTTCTGCCTCAGCCTTCCAGGCACACACCACCATGCTCAGCTAATTTTTTCTATTTTTTGGTAGAGATCGGGGTCTAACTGTATTGCCTGGGCTGGTCTTGAATACCTGGCCTCAAGCGATCTGCCTACCTTGGCCTTCCAAAGTGCTGGGATTACAGGCATGCATCATGGCGCCCAGCTAAGAAATAGAATAAATACTTAAGAGTACTGGAGAGCAAGAAAATGGTGCCATCAGTGGATCAGAATTTTGAGAAGCCTCCGGAAGCCTATAAGCAGATGCGATTGCAAGGGTGGAGTAGCTGGAACAGAGAAAATCACACCCCAAAACAGCAAAGGGGCGGGACTACAAAGAGGACGAGAGATTCTTCCCATGGGGTTCTGGGATTATGGCACAGGACACCAGGGGAATAAAATAAAGGACATAGAGGAGCTAGGAGGGCCTTTCCCCCTTATCTCATGCTTATCTTAAGGGTCCCCAGCTTGCCTGCCTGCTCCCTACTTCTTCCCCATTTAGTTATTCATGTATTGAACACTACTGTAGCCCTTCCATGTGTTTATTGAGCTATCATTACATTCCAGACACTGAGCCTTGTGCTTTACGTGTATTACCACTTTAACGCTCATCTTAGGATGTAGATATTATGATCATCTCCATTTTACAGGTACAAAAGCTGGAGCTTTGTAGAAACTAAGTAGCATGCCCAAGGTCACATAGCTAGTAAATGGCAGAGCTGATGTCTAAACATCACTTGACCCTCCAAACCTATTATCTGAACTACTCCACTAAATAGCTTTTTTTTTTTTTTTTTTTTTTGAGACAGATTCTTACTCTGTCACCCAGGCTGGAGTGCAGTGGTGTGATATCTCGGCTCACTGCAACCTCCACCTCCTGGGTTCAAGCGATCCTCCCACCTCAGCTTCCCGAGTAGCTGGGATTATGGGAGCAAGCCACCACACCCGGCTAATTTTTGTATTTTTAATAGAGACGGGGTTTCACCATGTTGACCAGGCTGGTCTCGAACTCCTGACCTCAAGCGATTCGCCTGCCTCAGCCTCCCAAAGTGCTGGGATTACAGGCATCAGCCACCACGCCCAGCCTAAATATCTGTTTTATCTGTGAGGAGGGCAAATAAAAACTAGAAACAAAATTGCAGAAGAAATATTTAGCCACCCAAGAGAGCCACTGGCTTCCCACCACTGTAACTCTATCCACTTACATAAAAATAATGTCTTAAATTATACAATGTTCCTATCTAGTTATAAAAATGGCTCCCTTAAGTTCATTATTTAGAAACATTTAGTTGGAGATATTTTGATGTGATTAAATGCAATTAAAAGTTTCCATTAATTTACAATAGCTTTATCCTATTGCAGCAACTCATAAAACCAGATGAAAAAGATTTTGCTGTATAATTCTTAAAAGCTCAACAACCAGAAGTCCTTGTAATGTACTCTGAATTTTAAGTATAAATGTCAATTAGGGCCGGGCGTGGTGATCACGCCTGTAATCCAAGCACTTTGGGAGGCTGAGGCGGGCAGATCACCCGAGGTCGGGAGTTTGAGACCAGCCTGACCAACATGGAGAAACCCTGCCTCTACTATAAATACAAAATTAGTTGGGCGTGGTGGCACATGCCTGTAATCCCAGCTACTTGGGAGGCTGAGGCAGGAGAATCGCTTGAACCCAGGAGGTGGAGGTTGCAGTGAGCCGAGTTCATGCCATTGCACTCCAGCCTGGCCAACAAGAGTGAAACTCTGTCTCAAAAAAAAAAAAGAAAAAAAAAAAAAAAAGTCAATTAGATCATTAAGGAGCCCATTCCTCTACGCTGATCTGTGCTTTTCTACAACCCTCCTTCTCTCCTCCCTTCCTCATTCTTTTCTTTCTTTCCCCAAAGTAGATATAATAATGGAGCTTACCAAGTGCTGGGCACTTTGCTAAATGTTCTGCTCAGACTAACTTACTTGGTCCATTGAACAACTGTTTTATCCCCGTATGACAGATGTGAAAACTGAGGCTTAGAACTCACAAGGGACTTGCTGGAGGTCAGATAGTTATTATTATTATTTTTGAAACCGGATTTCGCTCTGTTGCCAAGGCTGGAGTACAGCAACACGATCATACCTCCCTGCAGCCTCAAACTTCCAGTCTCAAGGGATCCTCCCACCACAGCCTCTGGAGTAGCTAGGAGTACAGATGTGTGCCACCACGCCCAGCTAATTTTTAAAATTTTTTGTTGAGATGGGCTGCAGGGCACAGGGTGGGCGGTCTCACTGTGTTACCCAGGCTGTTCTTGAACTCAAGTGATCCTCCCATCTTGGCCTCCCAAAGTGTTGGGATTACAGGTGTGAGCCACCGTGCCTGGCCAGATAGTTATTAAGTGTAGTGTAGGGGGCCTGGGCACAGTTGCTTATGCCTGTAATTCCAGCACTTTGGGAGGCTGAGGCAGGTGGATCACTTGAGGCCAGGAGTTTGAGACCAGCCTGTACAACATGGCAAAACCCCATCTCTACTAAAAAATATAAAAATTAGCCAGGCGTGGTGGTGCACACCTGTAATCCTAGCTACTTGGGAGGCTGAGGCAGGAGAATCACTTGAACCTGGGGGTTAGAGGTTGCGGTGAGCCAAGATCGTACCACTACACTCCAGCCTGGGGAACAGAGTGAGACTCTGACTCAAAAAAAAAAAAAAAAAAAAAAGAGAAAAGAAAAAAAAGTGGAATGTAGGGTTTGCTTCTACTTTGTAACAAACCACCTTTGCATTCATGGTTTAAAACAATGATTAATTCAACTCATGATTCTGCAGTGAGGCAGTTTGGTGGCTCCTCTAGACTCCATGGGACTTGCTCATGTGTCTTCAGTCCACTGAATCATGGGGCACCCAGGCACCTGGTCCCATGGCATCTGAACAGGGGTCAAAGGCAGCAAGAAGAAGCCACAAACCTTCTTGAGGCCTATACTTGGAACTAGCATAACATCATTTCTGCTACATTCTGGTGGTCAAAGCAAGTCACAAGGCCACACAGATCCCCAGGAGGGGAAAATGAACTCTTGATGGGATGTGCTGCAGTCATACTGCAAAGGTGCATAGATACCGGGACGGAAAATATTGGAGCAACTTTGGCAAACCAGTTGCAACTGGGTTCAAATCCAGGTGTGTCTGGTGCCAAAGCCCTTACCATGTTGAACAACAATTTCAAAGGGGTTTCAGGCATATATAGTCAGAAGGTCCTGTTAAATCATTTATATCCACGGCGTTTCTGGTACTGACTTGGAGAATGACTCTGGAGTGTAGGCTGGTGGTTCTTAACAGTTTTCTAGACCCTTTAAGGCAGATAAGAGGAATCACATGTAGAATCCCAGATTAATTACACTTTCTCTCTACGGAGGGACATCAAGAAGGAATAGACTTTAATTCAAGCAAGGGAATTAAATACAATTTTATTTTTGTCATTAGAGACAATATACTTTTGTTTTACCAAATTTAGGAAATGCAAATAAGCACCAACAAATAACAAATGATAATCACCTGTTATTGCCCCGTGTCTCTCCACGAAAACATCAATACAGGTTGGCACTGGGCCCATGTGTTTTTTACCTCCAGTAGAGGGCGCCATGCACCGCAGCCAAACACCATTTATGTAAGCGGCTGCGGTGGGAAACCTGGAGTAAGGTAACCCACGCCCTACTTGTGTTTTAGCTGCTCTTAAAGACAGTACCTCAGGTAGCTGCCCAGCTGTTCTACCTTGAAACCTGCCTCAGAATGATCTTCAAATTGGTGTCTACAATGAGCTTATACACAAAGCCTGTCCTCGTTCCTCCAAAGACCAGGCAAAAATGCCAGGCTGAGATCACAGGTTCTTGCTTTCCAAACACGTGATCCAAATGGCAAGCCTCTAATTGCCCAGTGCTGTAAATGTGATTATTTGCAGTGGGAATTTATTTATGCCAGAATCAGCTGATTCTTGGCATTGCTAATTTCATTGCTCATTCTTTTATTTTTCAGTCTGATTATAATAATTGCCATACTTTGGATAAAGATCAAGTAGCTTGCTTTCATAATGAACTGCTGTAAATAATGGCCAAATATGGGGCACAACAATTATAGGAAAAGATGTTTCTTGTGGCACAGGTGGCAAAAGCAAGAAATTGAACACAACCTAAGCATTCATAATTAGGGGGCAGTTAAATAAATGATGATACTACCGAGGTGAGGAAGACTATGCAGCTGCTAAGAATAATGCTCAGCTGGGCATGGTGGCTCATGCCTGCAATCCCAGCACTTCAGAAGGAAGCTGAAGCAGGTGGATCGCTTGACTCAGGCATTCAAGACCAGCCTGGGCAACATGGTGAAACCTTGTCTCTACAAAAAATACAAAAATTAGCCAAGTGTGGTGGTGCACACCTGTAGTCCCAGCTACTCAGGACGCTGAGGTGGGAGGATCATCTACCCCAGGAGGTCAAGGCTGCAGTAAGCCATTATCGTGCCACTGCACTCCAGCCTGGGTGACAGAATGAGACGCTGTCTCAAAAGAAAAAAAGAGTAATTCTTGGCCAGGCATGGTGGCTCATGCCTGTAGTTCCAGCACTTTGGGAGGCAAATGCAGGAGGATTGCTTGAGCCCAGGAGTGTGAGACCAGCCTGGACAAAATAGTGAGACTCCATGTCTACAAAAAAAAAAAAAAGAAAGAAAAAGAAAAATTAGCTGGGCATGTTGGTGCATGCCTGTCATCCCAGCTACTTGGGAGCCTGAGGCAGGAGAATCTTTGAGCCCAGGAGCTCAAGGCTGCAGTGAGCTATGATTGCACCATTACACTCCAGCCTGGGTGACAGAACAAAACCCTGTCTCAAAAATAAATAAAGCTGTAGATCTACCTCTATTAACATGAAAAGATTTCCATATTGTCTTACTGAAGCGGAACCTAACACAGAAATTTAAGAGCAAGAAGTTTCCTCTGGGAGACTCAGCCGCAGGTCCTCCAAATGGTCCCACTTCAAGGATGAGGGAACTGTCCAGTGAGGGCTACTCCCGGGAAGTTTAAATTCTTCGGCACTTCTGGCCTGCCACAAAGGCTGGCCAGCCAAGCTTTACTGACCAGAGAAAGTTCTCTGGAAAGGGTCACAGGTACTGGCAGTTAGAAGGTGGACTGGCATGCGTGGACATGCTAAGAATGGGGATGTTTGGGTGGAACGCTGACAGTGTGCTGTGTATGTTAAGAAAAAAAAAAAGAAGGAAAGAAGTAAGGGAGGGAGGAAAAGGTAGGAGAGAGGGAAGGAAAGAGAAGGGAAAAAGAAAGAAATAGCATGTTAGTTAAATTTATGTATTTATTTTTTTCATAGAAAAGAGGCTGAAAGATTGCAGGCCAGGCACAGTAGCTCATGCCTGTAATCCCAGCACTTTGGGAGGCTGAGGTGGGTGGATCACTTGAGGTCAGGAGTTCGAGACCAGCCTGGCCAACATGGCGAAACCCCATCTCTATTAAAAATACAAAAAAATTAGCTGGGCATTGTGGCATGCACCTGTAATCCCAGCTACTTGGGCTGAGGCAGGAGAATCACTTGAACCTGGGAGGCAGAGGTTGCAGTGAGCCTGAGATCGCACCACTGCACTCCAGCCTGGATGAGAGAGTGAGACTCTGTGTGGGCAAAAAAAAAGCTGAAAGATTGCAAAGCAAACTCTGATTAGTAGTTATGGCTTTGGGGGAGAGGAATGGGAGTTGGGGTCATAGGGAGAGGAAGAATCATCATATACTCTGCATGCTTATGTATTGCTAAATTATTTTACAATGAGATTGCATTCATATAATACTCTATAACTAAACAAAAAAACAGAATGAAAAGACTTCATGATATACGTTATAGGTTTGTTATAAAAACAAATCCTCGATCTCTAAGGACAGAAATAGCTTTGCCCTTAGAATATCCTGCTGCACATTTTTGCATGATTAGTAGTTTGACTTCGATTTGGTAAAGGAAAGGTAAACATGGTATTATTATTGATTTTTAAAAATAATATAAGCATACCATTCGGAAAACAGAATAAAATATAAAAGTCATCCATGATAATTGTTGCAATCTTTAGCAACCACTATAATCTTGGTTTCTATTATCAGGGTTTAGTTATGAAATTCCCCATGGTTTTTGTTGAGTGAGGTACTGAAAGGAATATAAATTGGAACAACTTTTTGGAGAACCACTTTGGTAGTATATATATATCTCAAATCATAAAAACAGGCATACCCTCTGACTCAAATTCTACTTAGGGGGATCTGTCCTAAGGAAACAATGTGAAGACAAAGACTTCAGCCTAAAGATGTTTAAGGAAGTGTTGTTTATAACTGTGAAACTGTCCCAACAGGGAAGTGATTCATGGGCTGCATGATATAGACAAACCTAGTTTAAAATGTTGGCTCTTCTGCTTACTAACTTACTAGCTGTGCAATCCTGGTCAAGTAACAACTTCTCTGTTGTTGATAGATGTAGATATGAAAATGGTGGTAGGACTTTTACTGATGATAGAACTTTGTCTAAATCTCAGTGGTATTGCTGAGGCCCCCTTTTGAAAAGTGAAATGCTCTGTAAGGAAACCCATTGATTGGGTTGCATAGAAGCAGACAGAACTGGGGGCAGAGATTCCTCTATAAGTGATTTATTGAGAGTGCTCTTGGGAGGAAGCTGTAAGAGTGAAAGATGCTAAGAGAAAGATACAGGGAAGAAGTTCACAAGGATGTGGTTTCTTCTGGACTCACCTGAGCACACAGGGAGCTAAGGGAGTGTTCATTGCTCCACAGGATCTGACCCCCACCCCTCCCCCAATGCCAGGGGATGGGCCTTTTATACACGTACATGCCAGTCTGCAGCCTGCCCTGGGGAGATGGGCATAACTCCTAGGTACCTCTGGGGTGATGCAGCTTCAGTTGCTCAAGAGTATCCCTAAGAGAAGGTTGCAGGTATGAGCCATTAGCAGAAGTGCAAGGTGGGCACACAGACCTAGTAAAGGGATCCTAGGAGATCTAAATGTGTCCCCAGCACCATCTGCCTTCACAGGGTTAAAGGAAATTAACTTCCCTTTATCCCCCAACCCCCACCCCTTAAGAGGAGCTAGGAGAGTAACATGAGGCCATTTAGTAGCTCAGATGCCTGCCTTAGGTGGGAGATATGAGAGAAAAGAAGGCCTCCTCTTTCTAGCAAAATTGAAGGCAACATGGGATAGGTGGGAGCAGGGCCTGGTTTAAAAGTTCCCTTCCCTGTCCAGCATGCCCCAAGTCTGAGGAAGTGAAAAGGAGGAAAGTGTGGAAGCAGCAGACAGAGGCAGCCAGTGCAGTTGGGATGCTGGTTACATTAAGCAAACAAGTAAATTGAGCAAAGACATAGCCATATTGAGGATAATGAGACCAAATTTCCCATTATTGGAGAAGGGAATTGCAACATGGAAGTGGGGAAGTTTAGAATGAACCCTAAGGTGATGAACTGAAATGGAATGTATCAGTATGAACTCGTTTTTAAATAAATATACACAGATAGATATAGATATGGTGAGTGTGTGAAGAGAGAGGGAGAGAAGTAAGATAGAGATAGATAGATAGACAGACAGATAATCTCTTAGCTGTGTCCACCAAGAGGCCCAGCAGCAGTGACACCCCAGGAGCAATGAGCACACTGAGCACAGAGATCTTGGTTTCTAAATACCATCTTCTGCCAAAGGGAACCAGGGCTTCTTAGAAAGGTGATGACAGACTCCAGGGCTGGGGCAAGGGAACTATAAGATGAGCTGAATATCTTGTGCTAGAAAATAGGGAAGACCTCAAGGAATGATGGAGGCATGCCAAAAAGACAATAGGAATCAGCTTGAAGGGGCTCCCACTGGGCAGATCTGGGACAGTCTGAGCATCAAAATAATAACAGGTTGCAGGCCGGGCATGGTGGCTCACACCTGTAATTCCAGGACTTTAGGAGGCTGAGGCAGGCAGATCACTTGAGGTCAGGAATTTGAGACCAGCCTGGGCAACATGGTGAAACCCCGTCTCTACCAAAAAATACAAAAATTAACCAGGCATGGTGGCAGGCAACTGTAATCTCAGCTACTCAGGAGGCTGAGGTGGGAGAATTGCTTGAACCCGGGAGGTGGAGGTTTCAGTGAGCCAAGATTATGCCACTGCACTCCAGCCTGAGCGACAGAGTAAGACCCTGTCTCAAAATAATAATAATAATAATAATAATAATAATAATAATAATAATAAAAACAGGTTGCAACTCATGGAATAAAATTGGAATCCTCCAGTCCTTATTGATTAAATGGATAGATAGATAGATAGAAGATAAGATAGACAAAGGGGAGGAGGAAAAAGCTCTTCTAAGCATCAAAATAGTAACAGGCTTCGACCCATTGTATAAATAGGACTCCACAAGTCTATACTGATTAAATGGATAGACAGATACGATGAGGGGAAGAAGGAAAATCTCTTTCTTACAGTTGAATGTCAACTAATAAATATAGAAGGAATGATAAAAATAAAAAATACCATTTGCGGGGCTAGGCACAGTGGCTCATGCCTGTAATCCTAGCGCTTTGGGAAGTCAAGGCAGGAGGATTGCTTGAGCCCAGGAGTTTGAGACCAGCATGAACAACATAGTGAGACCTCATCTCCACAATTAAAAAAAAAAAAATTGGCCAGGCGTGGTGGTGTGTGCCTATAATCCTAGCACTTGTAGTCTTGGAGGCTGGTAAGAGGATGGCTTGAGCCTGGAAGGTTGAAGCTGCAGTGAGCCATGATCACACCATGCACTCAAGCCTGGGGATAGGGTGACACCCTGTCTCAAAAAACAAAACAAACAAAAACAACCATTTGTTACCATCACAGTGGTAGATGACTTAGATAGAGATAGTCAATGGCTAAAAGCTGGTGGGTAGAGGTTCTATGGGGAACAGGATATTGGCATAATCTGAATACTTCCCCACAAAGGGGAAATATTCTTAATCACAAATGGAAAATTATAACTTAGGGTGGAGAAATCTGTTAGACCAGATTACCAAGCTGGTAATCTCCATCACCAGCTTGATCAGGTGATGAAAATTAATGTCACCAGTGATGGGACAGATTGACATTGTGTGCTGAGAAGGGCTCAGGTTGAGGTGTTCCTGCCAAGAAAACATTTTTCCCTGGACTTATTGGATTATGGGTAGGGCTCAATGGCAGCAGTTAGGAAATTTGAGAATCACTTGGGGAGTTAAAAATGCAGGTGAGGCCGGGCATGGTGCCTCACATCTGTATTCCCAGTGCTTTTGGAGGCTGAGGTGGGAGGATCGCTTGAGGCCAGGAGTTCGAGACCAGCCTGGGTCACATACATCTCTACAAATCATAATAATAATAATTAGCCAGGAGTGGTGGTGCATGCCTGTAGTCTTAGCTACTCTGGAGGCTGAGGCAGGAGGATCACTTGAGCCCAGGAGTTCAAGGTTGTGCAGTGAGCTATGATTGCACTTCAGCCTGGGTGACAGACTGAGACTCATAAATAAATAAATAAATACAATAAAATAAAAATGCAGATGCCAGGGCCTCATCCCTTGGAGTCTGTTTCTGAAGGTCTAGGAAGGGAGGGAGCTAGAGATCTGTATATTTAACCAACATCATCTCAGGAAATTCTGATGTAAGTGGTTCACTGACCACCCTTGGAGGAATGTCGGCTGCAAATTCAGAAAACGGTAGCCATTTTCCCACCCAGTTCTGATCTTAACTCCCTTTCTTTCCCTTTTACATTCCCAGGGTGACGCTGTATGCCGAGTTCCTTCCCATGAAAGCCAGAGCTAAATGTATTTTGCTGATTGAGGTAAGGAGGAGAGCGGCCTGGGTCTCTAGAGCATGTGGATTCCGGCAGGAGGTTCTCAGATGTCTTGAACCACAGGTCAAGGAAAAGGGAGTTTAAGAAAAAAACATTACAGACTCAATATGCAAAGACGTAAAAGGATCAGTTACATCATTTCTGACATGCCCGTTTTGCAATAAGGACAAATTCTTCAATTGACAAAAACATTCAATCTATCGTCCCTCAAAAAAAGAAGTGTCGGCAAGGGTATGGAAGGGTATGTTTTTCTTGAACGGGAAATAGCTTGTATCTGAGAGCTGGTGTTGAATGGTGTGGTGTGAGTAGACCGAACTCTGGCCCACACTCATATCATCACCCACCACCTGTCTTTTTGGTCAAGAATTTCCATTCTTGACCATTTCTGTGGCCTATAGGCTGCCTTAAAACTTTCGTGGTCCAGCTAGTTCCTGTCAAGTTTTTCTTCCAGGGTCTTGTGACCCATTTTCTAACCATGGTCTGAAAGATCTCAGAGCAAATACAATGGCTCCATGACTCCCCACTTCATGCAGCTGCCCAATGGCCCCCTCCACACAGTGGCAGAATGGTTTATTTGCTCATGCTGGACATTGATTCCAACAGTGATGACTATGAACCCACTCTGATGTCCCCAATCATTTTAACCACACTGACAATGTTAATCGCATTGATCCCACAGCCCAACATTCTGACTACATCTGCTTCTTACCAATTAGGGTGATGCTCCACTGATCCACACTGATGTGGATGAATCCATTGTTTAAATATTGAAATGCATCTGGGACTTTGGGAGGCCAAGGCAAGAGGATCACTTGAGGCCAGGAGTTTGAGGCTGCAGTGAGCTGTGATCACATCACTGCACTCCAGCCTGAGTGGCAGAGCAAGACCCCATCTATTAAAAAAAAAAAAAAGGCCAGGCGCAGTGGCTCATGCCCATAATCCCGTACTTTGGGAGGCCGGGGCGTTTGGATCACCTGAGGTCAGGGGTTCTCGACCAGCCTGGCCAACACGGTGAAACCCCATCTCTACCAAAAAATACAAAAAGTTAGTCAGGTGTGGTGGTGGGCTGTAATACCAGCTAGTTGGGAGGCTGAGGCAGGAGAATTGCTTGAACCCAGGAGGTGGAAGTTGCAGTGAGCTGAGATCGTGCCACTGTACTCCAGCCTAGGCGACAGAGCAAGACTCTGTCTCAAAAAAAAAGAAAGAAGAAGAAGAAGAGGAAGAGGAAGAAGAGGAAGGGAGAAGAAGGAGGAGGAGGAGGAGGAGGAGCAGGAGGAGGAGGAGAAAGAGAAGAAGAAGAAGAAGGAGAAGAAGAAAAGGAAATGTATCTAGACCAGCTGATCTTGAACTCTGACTGCCCTTCATTCCCTTGCCTGACACTCTGTCCTCTCTCAGGGCTTCCCAGGATTCAGCAACTAAAGAGTTAAATCTTGGCCCAGTGCAGGTGGTATGGGCCTGTATAACTGGTGTCCATTCTTTTTTTTTTTTTTTGTGAGACAGAGTTTCTCTCTGTTGCCCAGGCTGGAGTGCAGTGGCGCGATCTTGGCTCTCTGCATCCTCCGCCTCCCAGGTTTAAGCAATTCTCTGCCTCGGCCTCCTGAGTAGCTGGGATTACAGGTGCCCACCACCACGCCTGGCTAATTTTTTTTTGTATTTTTAGTAGAGACAAGTTTTACCATCTTGGCCAGGCTGATCTTGAACTCCTGACCTCATGAGCCACCCACCTCGGCCTCCCAAAGTGCTGGGATTACAGGTGTGAGCCACTGCGCCCGGCTACTGGTGTCCATTCTTATTAATCAGTGCATTACTTGTTGTTAGACATTTTTCTGTCACTTCTGATTGCCAGCAACAGAAATCGACTGTGATTCACTTAAGCAAAAGGGGACTTTGGAAGGTTCTTGGGGGCTCCAGAACAAATAGGGAGGCTGGAGGGCCAGGTTTTGGAATGGACTGTAGTTGTAGAGTCAGGGTCCCAGTAGGAAACAGCTTCTAAAATTAGGATCACTGCAGATGGTTTAATAAAGGGACTATTGGCCGGGCACAGTGGCTCACACCTATAATCCCAGCACTTTGAGAGGCCAAGGTGGGCAGATTGCTTGAGGTCAGGAGTTTGAGAACAGCGTAGCCAACATGGCAAAACTCCATCTCAACAAAAAAAATTAACCAGGTGTGGTGGCACACACCTGTAATCCCAGCTACTCAGGAGGCTGAGGCACGATAATTGCTTGAGCCTGGGAGGCAGAGGTTGCACTGAGCCGAGATTGCACCACTGAACTCCAGCCTGGGCAACAGAGTGAGACTCCGTCTCAAAACAACAACAACAAACAAATAAATAAATAATGGACTATTTATAAAGTCCCTGCCAGGGTGTTACCACCCCAGGCCAGAAGGGGCAAAGAGAGGGATTAATGAGCTGCCCAGAGAGTTGTATGATGAAGGCTGCTGGACAGGAGCTAGGACCCTCAGCTGACAGATGCAGCCAGCCACGACTGCTCTGCAGGGAGGGAGCCAGGGGAGTAAGTGCTTCAGTCTCTTTTTCCTCCCTCCGCTTCCATCTCCTGCAGGGCTCCACATTGGCTGCACCCAGTGGGAAGCGCTAGGACAGGGAGCCTGTTGATGGAACCCATACAAAAGTGGAAAAGGATGGAGAGTGACTTGGACAGGCAAATTGAAGATATTCAGCCCCATCGAGAAGTGGCAATTCTGATGAGGAATTCTGGGGCACCATTGGGCAAGGGAGATGGATGTCAGTGAGCAAAATCAATGTGTCCATTTTGTACAACCACGTTTATAGCCGTGTTATTCACACTAGCTAAGACATGGAAGCAACCCGAGTGTCTGTCAACACATGCGTGGACAAACAAGCTGTGGTCTATACATTCATTGGAATATTATTCAGCCTTAAAAAGGAAGGACATTCTGACATATGGTACAATGCAGATGAATCTTGAGGACATTATGCTCAGGGAAATAAGCCAGTCACAAAAAGACAAATACTGTATGATTCCACTTATATGAGGTACCTAGAGTAATCAAATTCATAGAGACGAAAAGTAGAATAGTGGTTGCCAAGGGGCTGGGGATGGAGGGGAATGGAGAGTTATTGCTTAATGGTACAGAATTTCTTGCCGGGCGTGGTGGCTCATGCCTGTAATCCCAGCACTTTGGGAGGCCGAGGGGGGTGGATCCCATGAGGTCAGGAGTTCAAGACCACCCTGGCCAACATGGTGAAACCCCGTCTCTACTAAAAATACAAAAATTAGCTGGGTGTGGTTGAGGGGGGCGCCTGTAATCCCAGCTACTCGGGAGGCTGAGGCAGGAGAATCGCTTGAACCTGCAAGGCAGAGGTTGCAGTGAGCCAAGATTGCGCCACTATACTCCAGCCTGGGCGACAGAGCAAGACTCTGTCTCAAAAAAAGAAAAAAAAAAATGGGCACAGACTTTCACGTTTGCAAATTGAGTTCTGGAGAAGGGGAGTGGTGATGTTTGTGCAATATTGTGAATGTATTTAATACCACTGAACTGTACACTTAAAAATGATTAAGATGGTAAATTTTGTTATGTGTATTTTACCACAATAAAAAATTTGAGGCTGGGTCTGGTGGCTCATGCCTGTAATCCCAGCGCTTTGGGAGGCCGAGGAGCCCAGGAGGCCTGGGAAACATAGTGAAACCCTGTCTCTACTAAAAATACAAAAGAAATTAGCCAGGCATGGTGGCATGTGCCTGTAGTTCCAGCCACTCAGGAGGCTGAGGTGGGAGGATTGCTTGAGCCTGGGAGGTTAAGGCTACAGTGAGCCATGATCGGGACACTGTACTCCAGCCTGGGTGACAGAGCAAGACAAAAAGACAGAGAGACAGAGAGAGAACCAGTGTGTTCACTACCAATTTGACATCACGTAATATTGGTCACATTGATCTCCTTAACCAAAGCTGCCACATTGCTCAGCTCCAGCAGGTGCCATGCAAATATTATACAGTGTATAATGGTACCCTTGTGAGCTGGGCAACATGGCAGCCCTGGCCCAACCATATAGACCACAGGGAAAGTGTGGCTATTCTAACCTTACTGACTCCGATGACCCCTTACCCACAGAGATACCCTTGTCCACAATGCCCCCATAATTCCTCTCTGTATGGACCATGCTACCCCCACCACTGACCCTGATTCTCCTGTGCCAGGTATTCTGGGCCATCGGGACAGTGTTCGAGGTCGTCCTGGCTGTGTTCGTGATGCCCAGCCTGGGCTGGCGTTGGCTGCTCATCCTCTCAGCTGTCCCGCTCCTCCTCTTTGCCGTGCTGTGTTTCGTAGGTATCCTTTAAGAGATTTCACCTTTTGCTGTCTGACATCTTACTGTCCACTCTATTTTGGTGGGGAGGGGATAGGGAAGGATACCAAAGCCACCTTTCAAGATTATTTTTTTTAAATCAGGAAATGAGACAAGGGAGCTATGGCCTGGGGTAGCCCCAGTATGGAGTGTTAGATTTCCTCCAGACAGACACTTCTGGGATGTTTTCTGGGGAGATAACTGGGGATGGGAGGATACATTGGCCCCATCATTGCAAAATCTACACTTAAAGTGATTGTATTGCACTAGTTGAGACTCTTAAGTTTCAAATGACAGAAACCCAATTCAAACTGGCTTGAGTAAAAGAGAGGGATAAATACATTTCAGAGGATTAAGTCAGACTTCAGGCATGGCTGGCTCCAGGAGTTTAAATGATCTCTTCATCTCATCTGTGCATAAACCACACCCTCTACTGAGATCTTGCCACATACTCATCATTTCATGGGCACATGCTTGAAACACTTTACAGCCAGTAGGCACTAAAATAAGCCTAGAGATGGGTAGTTCTCATGTACGGTAAATACCACAAAAATTCCTGGTAATGATAATAAGTATTAATAATTATTAAGCTTAACTGTGTGGCAGGCTCTGTGCTCCATGCATTATCATATTTATTCCTCCCAATAATCACAGGACTATAATGAACCCCTATATTAGTCAGGGTGATACCAGCTGCTGAAACAAATAAAGCCCACAAGTTCAGTAACAGCACGATAGGAGCTTCTCTCTCACTAACACAATAGTTCAGAATGACTTTTCTGGTTGGCAAGTGGAATTCTGGGCCCAGTTTTTGTCCAGCTGGTGGCTCTGCCATCCTCTAGGGCTTTGAAGTCTTCTACATACAGACAACAGACTTGCAAAAGGCAAGTGGAGACTGCACAGTCACTTCTTAAATACCTTGGCCAGGAATAGTCTGCTCATATGCCATTGGTGAACACAAGTCACTTGGTCCCACCTAGATGCAAAGGGAGCTGGGAAATGTAGTCCCTGTCTGGGCAGCCACATCTAAGGACAACTTTGCGCTATGAAAAAGGAAACAGAATGTTGGTGGGCATTTGCACTCTCTGCTATATCCTCTTTTTATTGATGAGAAAACTGAAGCCCAGAGGGGCTAATTGACTTGTTAAAGGGCCTACAGCAAGTAGACAAAAGAACTCTAAATCAGATCTTCTAACTCCTAGTCTTTTCTCCAGTATACCTGCTGTTTCAAACAGCTGTTGCTCCATTTTTACAGAAATGTATGTATGTAGTCATTTGGGGTTGGGACTTCCATTGGCCTAAAAATCTTTCTGATTTCTTTCTTTCTCTTGAACTGAGTTTGCAAGATGATGCTGAATACAGGTGAGGTGTAATTCCTTGAACAATGGGGGTGAGATTTCTGACAGTGATCTTAATTTAATTCAGCCCTCACCTGGAACTCTGAAAACAGCCCCAAATAATAGTAATAGCAACCGTGACAATAATAATAACTGCATTAACCCATACCAGGCACTGCACTAGGCACCTTGCCTGTATTATCCTGTTTAATCCTCTTAAGAGCCCTAAGAGGTAGGATCTCTTATCATTCACATTTTATGGAGAAGGAAATGAAAGCACAGAGAAGTCAAGTAATTGTACAGGGTCACACAACCAACATAATAAATGGTGGGGCCAGGATTTGAAGTCAGCTCTCTGGCTCCAGAGCCCCCACTCTTAAAGACCCCACATGCAACACTGTGTGGCTAGAAGCGAGTGCTCTGTTCCACCCTAACCAGCCACGCCTGGGTTTCCTGTCTCCCCCATCCCAGTGGCTGCCTGAAAGTGCAAGGTATGATGTGCTGTCAGGGAACCAGGAAAAGGCAATCGCCACCTTAAAGAGGATAGCAACTGAAAACGGAGCTCCCATGCCGCTGGGGAAACTCATCATCTCCAGACAGGTCAGTGCCTGGACCAATAGACTCTGCAATGTGCGTATCGGGGTGCATGCAGGGGAGTGTGTGCATATGGAGTAGGGCATGCATGCGAGGACACATGTGGGTATGTGTACCCAAGGTGGGGTGTGTGCGTGCACATGGAGCAGATGAGGGCCCAGTAGACAGGACCTGCAAGGGTAATTTGGCAACTCCAATCTGTATTTTCACTTCCAAGTTCTAAAAATGCTTCCTGGAGAATTTCACCAGTGATTAGAGAAAAGTAACCTCTGCTAATGGGTCCTGTAACTGCTCCTGCTTTGGTTTCGCCTTTCAGCACAGATGAAGTCTGACTAGCGAATGAGACTGATTGGCAAAAGCTGTGCAATAAAACCATATCAGGAAGGAGTGTGCTTAGATCTAGGGGATCAAACCGCACCCTGTGTAGGTGTTCTTAATGAATGGTGCCTCACTCCGCTGGTAACACCATCAGGGAGTCCACCACGGTGAAACTTAATGAGCACCTAGTATATGTAGGCACCAGCATTGCACACATGGGGAGAAAAGATTCGGATTTAAGGCTGCAGTCCCTGCCCTCAAGAACCATCCAAGCCGATTGAAGAAACATGACAAATACCTTAAGCAGACATCAGATCCTATAAAGAAATTACCTTTTAAAATAAAGTTATATTTCTGATTCTTTTTATATTATGCAAGAAGAACTGAATGGCATTTCACCAAGTTGGAAGGAGGTGTTTGGTCTGACAACATAGAGTCCAGGGGACCTGCCCCAAATCTACAGGGGCAGAGCAGGATGGATTCCTCAAGAGGTGCAGAAGCCTATTTGGTTGCCTTTGGGGAGAGATCCCTTCCATGGATGAGGGAAAGCCAGGCTGGTCTCGAACTCCTGGCTTCAAGTGATCAACCTGCCCCGGCCTCCCAAAGTGCTGGGATTACAGGCACGAACCACCACACCTGGCCATAGCATATATTTTTTAAAGAACATCGTAAAGCAAAGTTTGATAAATTTGTGAATTATGTAAAATTGGCCAATCGGTCATTTAGCTAATCAATCTTTTGGTAAATTGGCCTTTGGTGAATTAGTTTCTCAGCACATTAACTGTTGCCACCTAGACCTAGAACTGGGGAAGGCACATGTGTGTGTGTGAAATGGCTGGACATGCTTTGGACTGGTTTTCTGCTTGCTGTGTCCTTGGATCTGTGCTGAGGTCTGAGGGGCCAGGAAGGAGGGATCTGCTTCCCAAGTCCAGGTTTCCAGGTTGGAGGGCGTGAGATCCATCCTGTGGGGATCATGCCCCTGGACATGGCTGGGTTCTGGCTGGAGGGGCTGGGAGGCTGCGTCCTGTAGATTTGAGACCTGGGTTCTCAGAGCTCCAGTGTCCTACTTACTAGAAACCTTCCTCCCAGCCTGGTGTGCACTAGTCTCAGGCCACCAGCCCATCTCCCGTGCATCTGTAGGGGAGAGAATAAACACTATGTCCTTGTTTTGAAACAGGAAGACCGAGGCAAAATGAGGGACCTTTTCACACCCCATTTTAGATGGACAACTTTGCTGCTGTGGTTTATATGGTAAGAGCTGTTTGTTGACCACTTTGACCCCTTTCCACTCCCTGTGCCCTGTTTTGGGTTTTGTTTTAATGCAATGGACAGATAGCACTTTGATTTCAGGCAGCGTTTGCAAATTTCAGTAGTTCGAACATCATCCTCCTGATTTCCGTCATATCCAGGTTATCATCTGTACGTACTATCATTTCCTTCATCTTTTTCTTTAACTTGACTGCTTTTAATCACCGTGCAGGCTGGAGTGCAGTGGCGCTCTCCTAGCTTACTGCAGCCTTGAACTCCTGAACTCAAGCAATCCTCCCTCCTCAGCCTCCCCAAATTCTGGGATTACAGTTGTAAGCCGCTGAACCAGGCTTATAACTCTACTTTAAAAGAAAACACCTTAATTGCAAGTCACAGATAGAAGGCACTCTTAAAGAGAAATATCAGCAAAAGTAACTAGACGGAGGTTTGCAGAGGCAGTGAGCCTCTGTATTTAAGAGATAAGAAGGCTGGCTGGGCATGGTGGCTCATGCCCATAATCCCAACACTTTGGTAAGGTCAAGGTGGGAATATCTCTCGAGGCCAGCAGTTTGAGACCAGGCTGGGCAACACGGTAAAACCCTGTCTCTACAAAAAATGTTTAAATTAGCTGGGTGTGGAGGCATGCACCTGTGGTCCCAGCTACTCAGGAGGCTGAGGTGGGAGGATCACTTGAGCCCAGGAGGTTGAGGCTGCAATGAGCTGTGATCATGCCACTGTACTCCAGCCTGGGCAACAGAGTGAGACCCTGTCTCAAAACAAAAAGAGATGGGAGAGGGGAGGTGTTAAGGACTCATTAGCACATAAGTGAGACTGGGATATAATTTAAAAGGATTGAAAGGATTGAAAGTAAACTTAAAAAGTAATTTTTCTTTCACAATACGATTAAATATTTCTGCTATATGGGCTGGTGTGGTGTCTCATGCCTGTAATCCCAGCACTGTGGGAGGCTGAGGCAGGTGGATCACCTGAGGTCAGGAGTTCGAGATCAGCCTGGCCAACATGGCATAATCCTATCTCTACTAAAATACAAAAATTAGCCAGGCATGGTGGTGGGCACCTGTAGTCCCAGCTACTTGGGAGGCTGGGGGATGAGAACCACTTGAACCCGGGAGACAGAAGCTGCAGTGAGCCGACATTGCTCCCCTGCACTCCAGCCTGGGCAACAGAGTGAGACTCTGTCTCAAAAATACATGTGTGTGTGTGTGTGTGTGTGTGTGTGTGTATTTATACTATGTCAGTGTCTTCCCTGTAGCCCACATTGCCCCTTGGGTACCACAGGGGTGGCATGTGGCACGTATTTTGGGAACCACTGATTTGGTCAACATGGGCATCCTTTTAAGTTCCAGTTCTGATCCTGTTGGACTTTTTCTTAAATAATACCCATGGAAGGGAGTGGAGACAGAAGGTGTGGGTTGGGGGTGGTATTTGGAGAGTGTAATCACCTTAAACTCCACAATGAATTGGAGCTGCAGTCATCTTTCAAGTCTCTTTGCACCAATTCATGTACACAGCATTAATAGTGAACAAAATTGGCCTGGCTTAAGGCTTTATGTTCTATTTTAACCAGTTCTCATTTTTCTATTCACCATTTAGCAAAGGTGCTAATTAACAGGGAAGTGTCCCCAAGGTGGTCAATTACAGGGAAGAGGAGAAAAAAGCTTTGATAATATACAGAACGGACTCTAGCTCTGCCCCGAATTCCTAAGAGCTCAATTAACTCAGTGAGCCTGCAGAATTTTTTAAAAGGATGGTGGGGCATCAGAGTTGAGAATACCCACCTTTGAGCACATGTAATTTGGTTGGGCCAACGCTCCTTGAATACTGAAGCAATTAATTAGAGACTAATTTTAGTGCATTATGAAAGCCACTACATTTGCTTGCACACATTGAAACCTAAGGAAATGAATCACTGGCTTCTGATTATGACTGAGTTTTCATATAACTATTCTACTGGATGAGAAGGTTCCGGTCTTGCAAACTTGAGTATTCTAATTTCTGGGTCAGCCAGGAATTAATAAACGGTGTCATTCTGCTCTGAAATTCGAAAATCACATGTCCAAGTTGACGCAATTGACCCAGAGCCCTAAAAGATATTAATGGGGCTGTTTTCTTCCAGAGGTTGGTCCCATTTTTCCCCTATTGCCAGTTGGGTAGACAGCCTTGGAGGTGTTGTGTCTCTTGTATAGCATAGTTCTGTTACCAGAAAGGTGTCCTGATTCAGACCCCAAGAGAGGGTTTTTGGATTTCATGCAAGAAATAATTCAAGACCAGTCTATAGAGTAATGTGAAAGCAACTTTATTAAGAAAGTAAAGGAATAAAAGAATGGCTGCTCCATAGGCAGAGCAGCCCCAAGGGCTCCTGGTTGCCCATTTTTATGGTTATTTCTTGGTGATGTGCTAAACAAGAGGTGGATTATTCATGCCTTCCCTTTTTAGACCATATAGGGTAACTTCCTGAAGTTGCCATGGCATTTGTAAACTGTAACGGCACTGGTGGGAGTGTAGCAGTGAGGATGACCAGAGGTCACTCTCATCGCCATCTTGGTTTTGGTGGATTCATAGCTGGCTTCTTTACTGCAACCTGCTTTATCAGCAAGGTCTTTATGATCTGTATCTTGGCCGACCTCCTATCTTATCCTGTGACTTAAAATGCGTAACCATCTGGGAATGCAGCCCAGTAGGTCTCAGCCTTCATTTACCCAACCCCTATTCAAGATGGAGGTGCTCTGGTTCAAACACCTCTGACAGTTCTTGGTCTTTCAAAGGACACAGGATCACTTCCCTTTGATCATATCGTGATGCTTTTTTACCTACCATCTTCTTGCTCAAGGTCCCCAGTAAAGCCCCCAAAATCCCAGTGAAGCCCAAAGACTGGTCCCTGCTGCTGTAGACATTGGCCCTTCCCAAGGGGGTAGGGAAAGGGGACTGGTGTTCCTCTGATCATTTCTTTACCTTTCTTGCTTTCTCCTGGCAGGTTTTCCAATGCATTCTCTTACTACGGGTTAGTTCTACTCACCACAGAACTCTTCCAGGCAGGAGATGTCTGCGGCAGTGAGTATCTTGGTTGTCTTTGCCAGCTAACTACTCCCACACCCTCGGCACATACACAGTCATGCACACACTCCCACCCCAGGCTCTGCCCTTAAGGGATTGGCCTTGTACTACTTCTGTGGTTTCCAAGACACTCTGTAGAAACCTGGACAGTCTTGTCGCGATGGAGCTAATCTTAGAGGAGCCACATCTTATGTCAGGGTTTGGGCTCTGAAGTTCGCACTGTTAAAACATAAACCAAGGCACATTAAAGAAAAACAGAGGTAATTTTGAAGAGTTTATCTGAGCGGACAGCGATTTATGAATCAGTAGAAAAGAGCTGAAGAAAACAGAAACAGGGAACAAAAAGCAGGTGGGTTGTTTCAAAGTGACTTTCCTTATTGGATTAAAACAGAGCAGATTTTCTTGTCAGCCAGCTCAGGTAAACTAGGCCCCTTCACATGGTTTGCTGTGAATCTTCCTTTTCAAAATTATTATTATTAAATTTATTATTATTATTTTTTTATTTTTTATTTTTGACGGAGTCTTGCTCTGTCGCCCAGGCTGGAGTGCAGTGGCTTGATCTCAGCTCACTGCAGCCTCCGCTTCCTGGGTTCAAGCAATCCTCCTGCCTCAGCCTCCCAAGTAGCTGGGATTACAGGTGGCACCACCATGTCTGGCTAATTTTTGTATTTTTTTTAGTAAAGATGGTGTTTTGCAGTGTTGGCCAGGCAGGTCTCAAACTCCTGACCTCAGATGATCTGACTGCCTTGGACTTCCAAAGTGCTGGGATTACAGGTGTGAGCCACTGTGCCTGGCCTATTATTATTATTATTTTTGAGACAAGGTCTCATTCTTTCACCCAGGGTGGAGTGCAGTGGCACAGTCATGGCTCACTGCAGCCTCCACCTCCTGGGCTCAAGAGATCTTCCTACTTCAGCCCCCAAAGTAGCTGGGACTACAGGTGCAAAAAGAAATAGCATGTTAGTTAAATTTACTTATTTATTTATTTATTCACAGAAAAGAGGCTGAAAAGTTGCAGGCCAGGCGTGGTGGCTCGTGCATGTAGTCCCAGCACTTTAGGAGGCCGAGGCAGGTAGGCTGAGGCCAGGAGTTAGAGACCAGCCTGGCCAACATGACAAAACCCCGTCTACACTATAAGTACAAAAATTAGCTGGTTGCGGTGGTATGTGCTTGTAATCCCAGCTACTCAGGAGGCTAAGCCAGGAGAATCGCTTGGACTCAGCAGGTGGGGGTTGCAGTGAGCAGAGATTGCACCACTGCACTCCAGCCTAGGCGACAGAGTGAGATTCCATTTCAAAAACGAAAAAAAAAGAATTATATTTGGGAGTAAAATATTTTGATTTCCCTCAGGGTCTGCTGTCTGTTGAGTGATGTTCTACTAGAGTCAAGTTGGAATTTGGTATCTGATTGCCACGAAGAGTCTGTTTTGTCGGTCTTACGATCTTTGTTTTAATGTTAATGCTGGTCAGCTGTGCCTAAACTCCAAGAGGGAGGGGGTATAAGAAGGAGGTATGTCTGAACCTCCTTCCCATCATGGCCGGAATTCAGTTTTTCAGGTTTCTCTGGGGTCCCCTTGGCCAAGAAGGGATTCGTTCAGTAGATTGGGAGCTTAGGATTTCATTTTTGGTTTGCAGTTAAGTTACTCTTAACTGATTTCAGTTTGCTCGCCTAGGACCCCACAACACTGGAGCTGTCTCAGACTAATGGCCTCTCAGTTAATTTTTTCTAATAGCATTACTTTTTCTTTTTTTTGAGACAGGGTCTTGCTCTGTTACCCAGGCTGGAGAGCAGTGGTGTGATCATAGCTCACTGCAGCCTTGATCTCCTGGGCCTAATAGTATTTTAAGGTGAAAATGTAATATAGGTTAAAATTATGGCTGGGTATGGTGTCTCACACCCATAATCCTAGCGGTTTGGGAGGAAGAGGCAGGAGGATCACTTGAGGCCAGGAGTTCAAGAACAGCCTGGACAACATGGCAAGACCCTGTCTCTACAAAAAATTTAAAAAATTAGCTGGGCATGGTGGTGTGTGCCTGTAGTCCTAGCTACTAGCTGGGAGGCTGAGGCAGAAGGGCTGCCTGAGCCCATGAGTTCCAGGCTGCCGTGAGCCATGATTGTGCCTCGGCAATCCAGCCTGGGTGAGAGCGAGACTCTGTGTGTGTAAAAAAAATAAAAATAAAAAAATAAAATTATCATCGCAAATCCCCTAAAGAGCCCTCACGAAGTATAGTACTCAGAGCTTTATGGATATGATCCTGAGCAATAATTCTAATGTGCACATTAAGTTTGAGGACCAAGTTGGCTCTCCACCACGGCCACATAACAGACTCACCCGGGAAGCATTTTTTTTTTTTTTTTTGAGACGGAGTCTCGCTCAGTCGCCAGGCTGGAGTGCAGTGGCGCAATCTCGGCTCACTGCAAGCTCCACCTCCCGGGTTCAAGTTATTCTCCTGCCTCAGCCTCCCGAGTAGCTGGGACTACAGGCGACCGCCATCACGCCCAGCTAATTTTTTGTATTTTTTAGTAGAGACGGGGTTTCACCATGTTGGCCAGGATGGTCTCAATCTCTTGACCTCGTGATCCACCCACCTCGGCCTCCCGAGGTGCTGGGATTACAGGCGTGAGCCACCATGCAGAGCCGGGAAGCTTTTAAACAGTGCCCAGACCCATTTAATCAGGACTTGGGAGAGCAGGTGGAGCTCAAGCATTAGTAAGTTTTAAAAGCTCTCCATGTGATTCTATTGTGCAGCTGGAGGTGGGAACCTCTGGACAAAAAGAAACAAATGCAAAGAAAAGTCTATATGCTTTTTTATGCCTGTGCTTTTAAGCCATTCTGACTTTTAAGATAACACTAAATTCTCAGCATTGAACTCAGGTTAGAGGATAAAAGAATCAAGTTCCTGCTTGTGTTCGGGGTTTGCCCAATTATCTTTTATATTAGGCCTCTATAATCATAGTTAATAGTTTTGTTTATTGGTATAAGGATTGAGTGAGGTAGTGGAGTCCCATCTCACTGTGGGGGTGTGGGAGAGTCTGTGTTAAATGCTCTGCTGATGTGCTTTGATTGTAGAGTCAATCACAGGGTTTGGTATTGACTGAGCACAGATTGCCTCTCCTAAGAGTAGAATGCTTAAGCTAAGCATCCTAATGCTTAAACTAAGGATTCAGGGGAATGTCGTAAAACAGGGGTTAGCAATCTTTTTCTATAAAAGGTCAGGTAGTAAATATTTTAGGATTTGCAGGCCACATAACTCTGTTGTTTGTAGCAGCACAACAGTGGACGGCATATTGTTAAATTAAGTCCAGCCTAAAGCTGCCTCCTTGCATATTTTAAGTTCAGCCTAAAGTTTCTCCATACATAGTGAGCTGTATGAACTGTAACCTAACTGGATGTGTGAACAGACTGTAATCTACTCTTGTGCCAATCGCTGATTTCCGCCACTCAAAAGCAGTCAACTCACCAGGCGTAGTGGCTCATGCCTGTAATCCCAGGACTTTGGGAGCCGAGGTGGGAGGATCACCTGAGGTCAGGAGTTCAGGACCAGCCTGGCCAACACGGCGAAACCCCATCTCTACTAAAAATACAAAAATTAGCTGAGTGTGGTGGCACATGCCTATAATCCCAGCTACTCAGGAAGCTGAGGCAGAATTGCTTGAACTGGGGAGGCTGAGGCTGCAGTGAGCCGAGAAGACGCCACTGCACTCCAGCCTGGGCAACAAAGCGAGATTCTCTCTAAAAAAAAAAAAAAAAAAAAAGCAATCAACTGTTCAAACTCTATTCAAATAAGGCAAACACTGAGCTGTAACCAGTCCAGCAATTTCTGTATCTCACTTCCGTCTTCTGTTACTTTCCTGTTTCTGTCCATAAACCTTTAAACACTTGGCAGTACCAGTCTGTCTCTGACCCTATTCTGGCTTGGGGGCTGCCTGATTCACGATTTACTGTTTGTTCAATTAAACTCTGTTACATTTAATTTGTCCAAGGTCTTTCTTTTAACAATATAAATGAACAAGCATTGCTTGTGTTTCCATGCAAATTTGAATTTTGGGTCATTTTTATGCCTCATTATTTCCTCTTCTTTTAATTTCTAAAAATCATTCGAAAAAAACATTTTTAGCACATAGGTCAGGCAAAAAACAGGCAAGGGACCAGATTTGGTCAGAGTTTGCCAACCCCTGTTGAAAAGCTCTCTCTTATACCTGGGTGGGAAAGTAAAACTGTAGAACAAGCCCACAGCTGGAAATTAGGAGACCTGGGTTCCAGCACCAAGTACCTGTGTCACTTTGGGCAAGTCATTTACTTAGTATGTATTTTCTACACGCCAGGTACTGGTCTATGTGTCAGTGTCCAAAAAAGCCAGAGCTGGACAGAAGTGAAAGCAGTGAAGGAAAATTTCATTTAGTAACAATTGCAATAGGAGGAGAGAGACCTCAGTATAGAACTGGGCTCCTTTCTGTATACGCAAGTATTCAAAGTGGGGATTTATAGCCAGGGAGCAGGGTGGGGGAGTCAGTGGATGGAAAATTACTAAGAGGAAATGTCAAGGATAAGATGGTTTCTGGTTAAACCGACTTGATAGGATTATTGCTGGGCCAGGCTCATACTCGTAATCCCAGCACCTTGGGAGGCAAAAGTGGGAGGATTGCTTATGCTCAGGAGTTCAAGACCAGCCTGGGCAACATAGTGAGACCCCATTTCTACAAAATGTAGAAAAAATTCGCATGCCTGTGGTCCCAGCTACTCAGGAGGCTGAGGCAGGAGGATTGTCTGGGCCTGGGGAAGTCAAAGCTGCAGTGAGGTGTGATCACACCATTGCATTCCAGCCTGGGCAACAGAGCGAGGCCCTGTCTCTAAAAATATAACTAGCTAACTAACTAACTAACTAACTAAATAAATAAATATTTAAAAAGGACTATTGCTGAAGGCAAGTATAGGGGAGGAAGCATATCTTTCCTTCTATTCATCCTGGTTTTATGACTGAGGCCCCTATAACAAAAGACAGATTAAGAAAAGCATATGAACGTATTTCATCTAAGTTTGATGTGGCATAGGAGCCTTCATAAGGAAAGGAAGACCTGGAGAAATGGTTAAGCCTGAGTATCTTTGTGCCAGATTTGATGAACAGTGGAGAGTCGTAGAGAAATATGACAGGACGAAGAGTGTGACCTAGTGGTAACAAACTGGGGGAAAGTCAGCAAGGCCTGTTCAGATTCTTTTCTGTCCCTGTGTCTTTGGAGATAAGGATTTTCTTTTTCTCTGGGTATAGGCAGGGCACCTCTCACCTGAGGGTTTTATGATTTGCTTCAAAATAAAGTCATAAAATGGCCGGGCATGGTGGTTCATGCCTGTAATCCCAGCACTCTGAGAGGCTGACGCGGGCAGATTGCTTGAACTCAGGAGTTCGAGACCAGCCTGGGCAATATGGTGAAACCCTGTCTCTATCAAAACTACAAAAACTGAGCCGAGTGTGGTGGCGTGCATCTGTGTTCCCAGCTACTTGGGAGGCTGAACTGGGAGGATCGCTTGAGCCTGAGAAGCGGAGCTTGCTGTGAGACGAGATTGTACCACTGCATTCCAGCCTGGGTGACAGAGTGAGGTTCTGTCTCAAAAAAAAAAAAAAAATCAGAAAATCCGTCTGGGTTTTATGACCTGCTTCAGGGGTGAGGGGCAAAGGAAGGTCAGAGGCCCCTTCTCCACATGCTGTTTCTCCAATTATTTTGACTTAAAATATTCAAAATGCCAAGGTGCCATATTTGAGGGTTGGCATGTCCTGAACCCCATCACAGGCCAGGGTGATAAGAAATCAAGGGTGGGGGGTGAGGAATTGGATCAAAAATATCAAAGGTGTGCATTTTCGCTAGACTGATTCAGCAGTATCTTGTCAAAACTAGACAGAGCCCAAGGGTGAGGATGAAATTTTAAAAAGACTCAGAGGAGCCTGACAAAAGTTTGGTTAAAATGGTGGGGGTCAGGGGGGTGTGGGGGTTGGCTGCGCATGGTGGCTCACACCTGTAATCCCAGCACTTTGGGAGGCTGAGGCAGGTGGACCACTTGAGGTCAGGAGTTTGAGACCAGCCTGGCCAAAATGGTGAAACTCATCTCTACTAAAATACAAAAAGTAGCCAGGCATGATGGCATGTGCCTGTAATCCCAGCTACTCGGGAGGCCAAGTCAGGAGAATTGCTTGAACCCAGGAGGCGGAGGTTGCAGTGAGCCAATATAGCACCACTGCTTTCCAACCTGGGCGATGGTATGAGACTCTCTCTCAAAAAAAAAAAAAAAAGAGTTTTTTGTCAGCTGAGCATGGTGGCTCATGCCTTTAATCCCAGCACTTTGGGAGGCTGAGGCAGGTGAATCACTTGAGCTCAGGAGTTCAAGACCAGCCTGGGCAAATGGTAAGACCCCATCTCTATAAAAAGTACAAAAAAGTAGCCTGACTTGGTGTGCCTGTGGTCCCAGCTACTCAGGAGGCTGAAGTGGGAGGATCACTTGAGCCTGCAGGTGTGGAGGGTTGCAGTGAGCGAAGATTGTGCCACTGCACAATCCTGCTCCAGCCTGGGCAACAGAGTGAGAGCCTCTTTCAAAAAAAAAAAAAAAAAAAGAGAGAGAGAGAGTCTTTGTCATTAGAATACGTCAGTGAATTCTAATTACAAAAGACAAATATTTCTGCCCTGTGGGCTTATATTTGGGGGGAAGGGGAGACAATAGCATGATGAGAAATTATATAGTATATTACAAGGTGATAGATGAGTTAAAGGAAAAATTTTAAACAAAAGGTAAAATCATGCCTCTCGTACAAATATAAAATTAATACATGACAGACTTCAATTAACTCATTAATTAATAAATGAATCAGTTAAGAATTACTTAAAGTCTGAGTGTGACCTATTTGCAAGCTGACAAGTTAGCCTTTCACAGCTCCCACAGGTGCTAGCAGAGGACACAACACTCCTGGGTCAGAGACAAAGGACCATATTACTCATAGCAATTGCAGTAGCCAGAGTATCGGCATTTTCCTACACCAGTTCCTCAAGCCCCCAATCCCCCAGGGTAACATGAAGAGGGGCAGGCAATACCAACAAAAGTATTGAGTTGTGTAACAAGAGAAGATCCCTGAGCTTAGGGAACCCCAACCTTTTATACTAGACAGTAAGCATGCCTGTCCTTTGCTCTGGAGAGAGACATTTTATCTTCGAAAGCCATAAGCAAACTACTATTTGAGCCAAGGGGAGACATTCTCTTTCTTCCAAGGCTGTTTGCTAAACAAATATCCTTGAAAATATAGTCCAGAACAAAGGTAGTCAGCGCATCTACTCAAAACATGCAGAAATGTCAGAGACCCAAAGAGAATTGTCTACTAACACAAATAAGAGGGTACAACTGGTTCAAAGGAGAAGTCAAAGCAAACACATATACAGGCAATCAGAAATGCTGAAGTGAATTTACAATTAGAGGCAAAACTGGTCAATATGTATAGGGCAGTCAACTGCATCACCACCAGGCACTATTTGCATTTCTATGTATTAATACTAGAATCATTTACATTACTATCATTTTTCTACAACATAGCTCAAAGACAATGACAGGTGAAGGTAACCTATAAAGGTACAACTACAAGACATTTTTGCCCATTTCAAAGTCTTTCACACATGCTTACTTCAGCAGCACATATACTAAAATTAGAACAATACAGAGAAAATTAGCATGGACTCTGCACAAGGATTCCATGCAAATTGATGAAGCATGCCATATTTCTGTGGATTGGGTTAAGAAAATATGGTACCAGTACACCATGAAATACTACACAGCCATAAAAAAGAACAAAATCATGTCCTTTGCAGCAGCATGGAGGCAGCTGGAGGCCATTACCCTAAGCAAATTAGCACAAGAACAGAAAACCAAATACGACATGTTCTTACTTATAAGTGGGAGCTAAACATTGGGTACTCATGAACATAAAGATGGCAACAAGCCCAGGTGTGGTGGCTCACACCTGTAATACCAGCAATTGGGAGGGCGAGGAGGGAGGATTGCTTGAGGCTAGGAGTTCGAGACCAACCTGGGCAATGTGGCAAATTCCTATCTCTACAAAGAATACAAAATAATTAGCTGGGCCTGGTGGTGTGTGCCTGTGGTCCCAGCTATTTGGGAGGCTGAGGTGGGAAAATTGCTTGAGCCCAGGAATTCAAGGCTGCAGTGAGCGGTGATTGTGCCACTGCACTCCAGCCTGGGTGACAAAGTGAGACCCTGTCTCAAAAAAAAAAAAAAGGTCAGGAATGTAGGGCAGATAAAGGGGCAGTGGTTAGAGTTAAGTTTTAAATAGGATGGTCAGGGTGGCCTCAATGAGAAGGTGAAATTCAAAGACTTGAAGGAAGTGAGGAAATTCATCATGGGGAGGGATAAAGGGCAATTCAGGAAGAGAGATCAGCCAGTGCAAAGATCCTGAGGCAGGTGCATGCCTTACTTGCCAAAGGAACAGCAAGGAGACCAGTGTGCTGGAGTAGAGTGAGTGGAGCAACAGGGGAAGAAGTAGAAGGTGGGGTCAAGGATGTGTTAAGTGCCAGATAATATAGGGCCTTAAAGATTTTTGAAGGACTTTGGCTTTTACTCTATGTGTCATGGGAGGTCATTGCAGAGTTTTAGGCAGAGGAATAACAGTGATTTGACTTAGGTTTAAAAAGTATCCCTTTGACTGACGTGTTGGAAATAGACCATGGCTGGGTGGAGAGGTCAGGGGAGAAAGTGAGTACAAGCGTAGAAGCAGGTAGACTAGTTGGAAGGTTATTTTGGTAATCCAGATGAGAGAGGATGGTTGACGATGGCTCAGACCAAGATGGCGGCAGTATTACTGAACCGAACCTCCCCCGGCACGGTAAAGCCAAACATCTACACTGAAGTTTGCAGTAGGAGAAAGGAGGGCGTTTATTTGCAGGATGCCAAGCAAGGAGAAACAAGCAGTTCACACTGAAGATCCGACCTCCTGGATGGCTTATAAACAAGGATTTTTAAAGGCAGGGGTACATTTTAGGAAAGTAGAAGTTACAGGCAAAATCAGAGGTCAATCCATGGAAACTATACCTTGGTTTGGACCCTGAAATTGGGATATCTTGAGGATCAGGGGGCCTTACAGGTGGACTTAGAGATTCTTTGATTTGTAATTGGTAAAAAAAAAAAGGAAGGCTTTTTCAAAAACTTGAGGTCAGCAGGAAGGAGTGTTAAGGTTTGGCCTGTGGGCCTGACTCTCTCTAGGCCCCTCAGGAAAAGATTTATAATCAAGGGCAGTGGTCAGAGTTGAGTCCTCAGTTCTCCCTTATCTATTATGTCTACTCAATGGTGGTCAGCATTTTCCATCTGGTGGATTCTGGGTTTCTGAAACCAACTCAGGGACATATGTTAAGATGTTATCTTTAGTTTCTATAGGGAACCAAACATCCTGTGGCTCTAACCTTCTTGGGTGGCTATTATTTTAAGGTATTTTTACCTTCCTGTTTATTAAGTTCTTCAGTTACTTCTCAAGGCTAGCTAGGTGCCTGGTATTTCTCTTGAAGGGACTCAAGATTTTCCTTTATTTCCATGTTTGGGGGTGGTGGGCAGAAGCCTCCTGAGACAGGGTCCCTGCTCTGTCTCAGCAGTGATGAGATGTGGCCAATCCTATTCTAATATATTTTGAAGGTTGAACAGCTGATGGGTTGGCCGTAGGGTATAATAAAAGAGAATAGTCAAGGATACCTCCAAGGCTTTCTGCCTGAGCAACTGGAAGGATGGAGATGCCACAACTGAGATGGGGAAAGTGTAGGTGGAGCAACTTTGGGGGACACTCACCCTCTCTGAGTCTTGCCTGTTAAATGGCTGGTTCAGATAGGGTGTGTGAATCAATTTGGACTGCTATAACAAAATACCTTAGACTGGGTAACTTAGAAACAACAGAAATTTATTTCTGTCGGTCCTGGGGGGCTGGGAAGTCTAAAATCAAGGCACCAGTAGATTCAGTGTCTGGGGAGAGCTCTCTGCTTTATAGACAGCATCTTCTTGTGGCATCCTCACATGATAAAAGGGGCAAACACTGTGTCCTCAGATGGCATAAGGGCTGGGGAGCTCCCTTCAACCTCTTTAATGAAGACACTAATCCCATTCATGATGGAAGAGCCTTCATGACTTAATCACTTCCCCAAAGTCCCTACCTCTTAATACCAACACAATGGAGATTAGGTTTCAACATGAATTTTGGAGGGACACATTTCAGACCATTTCACCTCTATCTTTAGGAGATTAGTCCCATAGTTTGAGAGTAAAGCAAGGTCAGGAAGGGAGCAATGTAGCATTCATCCTTCTTTATTAACTCTGCCTGGAACAGGGATGAGATCTTGTTTCCATCACCTCTTTGGCCATTGGGTTCCACTCCAATTCGCTTTCAATAAAAAGGTTAGGGGTAGATGGTGAGGGACAGGAACAGGTGATAACCATGTATTAGTTATCTATTGGTGCATAACAGAATTACCACAAACTCCTGACCTACAGAAACTATGAGATGATAAATGTGTGTTGTTTCTTAGTGGCCTGAGACAGCACACACTTATCATCTCATAGCTTCTGTAGGTCAGGAGTCTGGACACAACTTAGCAGGGTCCTTTGCCAGGCTGCAATCAAGGCATCAGCCAGGACTGGAGGTCTGTGTTCTCATCTGGAAGCTCAACTGTGGAAGGACCCACCACCCCACCTATGTTGGTTGTTGGTAGCATTCAATTCCTTGTGGTTGTAGGACTGAGAGCTTCAAATTCTTGCTGGCTGTCAACTGAGGCTGCCCTCAGCAACTAGAGGCTCCCCTCCACTCCTTGCCACCACATAGGCCACCTACATGGCCACTTGCTCCTTCATAGTCATCAAGGAAAAGCATAAGAGACAGTCCTGCACAATGGGCATTTCAGTCTTGTTTAATGCAATCACATACATCCTGTCACCTTTGCTGTACTCTGTTGGCTAGAAGCAAGTCACAGGCCCCATCTACACAATCAAGGGGAGGGGATTACACAAGAATATGACTACCAGGAAGTGGGGATCATGGGGGCCACCCTAGAGTCTGTCTGCCACTAAAGTGCCTACTACGTGCCAATTCTGTACTAAGCACATTCATACGCATAGCCCACTTTCAGTCTCTCAATCCCTTTACATGGTGCTTTTATTTGCCCCAGTTTTATGAGGAAACTCACACTTAGAGAGATGAAGCTGGAGCACTGCGGCTTGGTGTTCAAACATGAATCTGTCTGTCTCTGAGTCTGGGCTCTTTCTATGGCATCTAAACTGAATCACCCCAGGGAAGGAGGTATGGGGAGCAGGAAGGTGTGATTCAAGACTCTGTATATGTCTCCCCCTCTCTTTCTCTCTCCCAACCCCAGTCTCCAGTCGGAAGAAGGCTGTAGAGGCAAAATGCAGCCTGGCCTGCGAGTACCTGAGTGAGGAGGATTACATGGACTTGCTGTGGACCACCCTCTCTGAGTTTCCAGGTGAGGGACCTGTGCAAGGTGAAGCTGTGTCAGGCAAGCCTGGGAATATGGCAATTGTTCAGCTGGTGGCTCTGTCTACCCTACCTGGAAGCAAATCCCATTTTTAGTCAGCGAGGGACTTTGTTTTTCAATCCTTAACTATAAGTTGTCAAGAACTGTGAAGGGGCTGAGATGTTACCCTACTTGAAGGCTGTCAAGTTAAGCTGCCCAGTTTCATGCATGCTGGCAGAAGACATGAGACTCCTGGGTCAGAGACAAAAGACTATTATAGCAAGCAGCTTGAGTAGTACCTTGGTGACTGTTTCCCTTGCCCCCAAGTCCCATGGGGATGATGAGGAAGGACCCACGTGGAGGCTACACATGCAATGGATTTTCAACACAGCTGGGGAACCCCAAGCTTAGGGAACCCAAATATTTTATAATAGCCTGCCAGAAACCTCCCTAAGGGAGACATCATCTTTATTATATTGGACGATAAGCCAACCTGCCCTTTGCTCCAGAGGGAAACAGTATCCCTATCTTCCAAGGTTGTTTGCTGTACAAACAACTCTGACATGGTAGCCTGGTCCAAAAGGGCAGCTGATCCCTCTGCTCATAAGATGTGTAGAAATATGAGAAACCCATGGAGAATCATCCTCCAACACCAGGCACACTGGAAAGGAACAGTAGAGTGTCAAAAATCCAAACCTGCACGTGATGCAAAGGTGATCTATCTTTTTTTCTTTTAAGAGGAATAATTATTACAACTACAATAACTTCTAGTATTTATTGAGTACCTGTTGTATGCCAAGGCCTGTGTTAAATGTCTTACAGATGCAATCTTATTTAATCTTGTGAAGTCGTTTAGTTATTCCCATTTTACAGCTGAAGAAACTGAGGCTCAGAGTGGTGACATAATTTGCCCAGTGTAGCAGAAACTGTTCCCGCAACTTGCAACTGCTAGGATTCTGTGCCTGAAGACTATCTCAGAAGGAATGAGAAGTGTCTGTATCTAAAAGCAAGCAAGGTAGCTGGAAGTGCCAAGGAGTTAGCACCTGGGAGCAGCCTTTAAACAATACTGTGGGATTTGGTGGACAAATACCCCAGCGTCCTTGCCCATCAGCAGGAAAACTCCAAGGCGCATGTTCTATGCTGGCTTTTGAGTCCCCCAGTGGAATTCAGCTCCAGTTGCCCACAGTAGTGGGCAACTGCTTGATACCCACCTTTTGTTTGTTGCTTTCCCTTCCCAAATTTACTTCCCCACTCTCCTGCTGGTCCTTTCTTGGATTACCTCCCAAGTCGATGCCTTGCACTTGCATCCTTGTCTCAGGGTTTGCTTCTGGGAAAACCCAACTATGATACTGAGTACCCCACAGCAGGCAGCGCTAAGACCTGTGCTGCCACCCTAGAATTCAGAGTCTTCAGTCCCATACTACACTGTCTATCTTTCCTCTAAAACCCTTTCCCCACACAGCTTAGTAGGTAAGAATGAAGGCTAGAAGTTAAACTCAGCATTTGCAATCTCCATTTCTGTGACTTTAAGAAAGTCACATTACATGACATTTCTGTAACTGGAAGCAGTCACCATTTCTGTGATTTTACCTCTCTGAAACCCAGATTCTTCTTTATTTACTATGTGTATTGTTTTATTTGGTTTTGTTCATTAATGTGCCCCAACCTCCTGGAACAGTTCCTGACACACAGTAGGTGCTCATTGACTGAATAACTGTGGAAAAATGCTATTTGATAAATTAATAGCATGTATTTTAGAGGATCGTTTTGATGACTAAACAAGATTATGGATGTAAAAATGGGGCCGGGCATGGTGGCTCATGCCTGTAATCCTGGTGCTTTGGGAGGCCAAGGCAGGCAGATTACCTGAGGTCAGGAGTTCGAGAGCAGCCTGGCCAAATGATGAAACTCCATCTCTACTAAAACTACAAAAATTAGCTGGGCATGATGGCGTGCACCTGTAGTCCCAGCTACTCAGCAGGCTGAGGCACAGGAATCGCTTGAACCCAGGAGGCGGAGATTGCAATAAGCTGATATCACACGCACCACTGCGCCCCACCCTGGGTGACAGAGTGAAGCTCTGTCAAAAAAAAAAAAAAAAAAAGATGTAAAAATGCTTATCTCAAATTCAGTTATTATTATTACTAATAAGCACTATGCTATACTGCCTCTACTGAGGTAGAGTGTGTTATTTTTTAGGCCCATTTTATAGAAGAAGAAAATGAGGCTCAGAGGAGGTAAGGGACTAGCCCAAGACCACATGGCAAGTTAAAGGGAAAATGAGGCATTAGAACCCAGACATCCTGTTCCCTGGATTCAGTGAATGTCATCATTCAGGCTCCTGCTGGTGCCTGGGTTAGTTATCTATTGCCAGGTAACAAATCATCCCAAAAATGTAGTGGCTTAAAACAATGCACACTTATGATCTCACAGTTGTTGTGGCTTCTCTGGGTGTTCTACTTCAGCATATTTCATGTGGCTGCAATCAAGGCATTGGCCCAGGGTCTGTAGTCTCATCTGAAAGCTCAGCTGGGGCAGGATCCACTCCCATGCTTACTGACATGGTTGCTGGCAAGATTCCATTCCTTGAAGGTTTTTGCACTGAGGGCCTCAGTTCCTTGCTGGCTGTTGGCCAGAGGCTACCTTCAGTTCCTTGCCAACTGGCCTTCTCCATCAAAGCAAATATATGAGAAGGGCCAGGGAAAGAGAACACCAAGACAGAAGTCACAGTCTTTTATCACCTGACCTCAAAAGTGACACCTTATCACTTTTGCTGTCTTCTAGTCATTAGAAGTGAGTCACTAAGTCTAGTCCACCCTCCAGGGGAGGGGATGATACAGGCTGTGCTACGAGGATGGAGGGCATTGGGAATCACATCGGAAGCTGCCTATCTCTCCCCACTCCCCTTCCAGGTGTCCTTGTGACTCTGTGGATTATTGACCGCCTGGGGCGCAAGAAGACCATGGCCCTGTGCTTTGTCATCTTCTCCTTCTGCAGCCTCCTGCTGTTTATCTGTGTTGGAAGGTAGGTGATCTGCAAGCCTAGGTATGAGTTTGAGCACAGGTGGAGGTGTGGGTGCAGGTGTGGGTGCAGGCCCAGGTAGATGTGCGGGCCAGGTGTTAATGTAAGCCCAGGTGGAGGTGCAGGCCCAAGTGTGGGTGTAGGTGTGAATATGGGTACAGGTACAGGTGTGAGTGCATGTGTTGGTGTATGCCCAGGTATGGGTGCAGACCCAGGTGTGTGTATAGACCCAAGTGTGGGCACAGGTGTGGGTATAGGCCCAGGTGTGGGTGCAGGCCCAGGTGTGGGTATAGGCCCAGGTGTGGGTATAGGCCCAAGTGTGGGTGCAGGTATAGGTGCAGGCCCAGGTGTGGGTGCAGGCCCAGGTGTGGGTATTGGCCCAAGTGTGGGTACAGGTGGGGTAGATGCCCAGATGTGGGTGTAAGCTCAAGTGTAGGTACAGGTGTGGGTGAGGCTCAGGTGTGGGTGTAAGCCCAAGTGTGGGTGTAAGCCCAAGTGTAGGTACAAGTGTGGGTGAGGCCCAGGTGTGGGTATTGGCCCAAGTATGGGTGCAGGTGTGGGTGCAGGTAGGGGTACAGACCCAGGTGTGAGTGTAGGCCCAAGTGTGGGTGTAGGGTGTGGGTGCCGGCCCAGGTTGCGGGTATTGGCCCAAGTGTGGGTACAAGTGGGGGTGCAGGTGTCAGTGCAGGCCCAGGAGTGGGTGCAGATACAGGTAAAAAGGTGTAGGTGTTCATTAGGACTGAGGGTCATGGCTGCCTCACAACTGGATAAAAGATCAGGGTCTCTGATGGGGGTTGTAGTCAGGGGAGAACTTTGGCCCCAGTTTTGCTCTAATGATGCCATATTTAGACTTTTGATATCATCTCCCAATGAGATCATAAATGTAGCTATTTATATATATGTTAAAACTGTTAACTTGTTCAATGGAAATATTTCAAATAGATCGTTTTGTAATCCCGTTTTAACATTTCTCCATTTTTCCATTTGCCAAGAGCCTCAAAATATAGAAATGGCTTATGCCTCTATTGATCTCTGAGAGGCCCCAGACCACACCTAGTGAGGAATCTGTGGGCCACCTCCTGGTCTGAGGAAGATTGGGAGATGTAGCTTCGACCCTGAAATGTTAGTGTTCTGGGACATTTATGGGAACAATGGGACAGAGGGTTGGGATCAGAATTATCCTAAGAATACTAAATAGTGGTTTACTTTCCCCAGCTCAGCTGGCCCCTGGCTCAATTCCTGCTCCACCCTCAGCCAAATTCCTGTCTGAGCTTTCCACTATTTATATCACTTCTCCCTAATCTTGTGCCCATCCTGGGCACCACAGGTGTTCCCATCTCTCAGCCTGTTACTTTGAGGAATGATTAACTTACAAAAGCAGGACTGTCAAGATGATACTGAAATATGTGTGCCTGCATGTCTGTATCAATGAGCATCGGGGAGGGGTAACCTTTGCCAATTGCTAGGGCATTGATACTGCCTGGGAAGATAGGACTATGCTGAAACAAGCAGACAGAAAAAAATGCCATCATCTGCCTTTATCCTCCTCCTAGAAATGTGCTCACTCTGTTACTCTTCATTGCAAGAGCGTTTATTTCTGGAGGCTTTCAAGCGGCATATGTTTACACACCTGAGGTAGGAGGGGTGTCTGGGAGCTGCTGGGGAACGGGCAGTGGGGGGAGAGTGGCTGTGGGGGATGCTCTGCTTCCAGAAACCATTAAAAAGAATGAGGTGGTGGGCGCGGTAGCTCATGCCTATAATCCCAACACTTTGGGAGGCCGAGGCAGGAGGATCACTTGAGCCCGGATGTTTGAGACCAGCCTGAGCAACATAGCAAGACCCTCTCTCTAAAAAAATAAAATAAAAATGAGCCAGGCTGTGGTGGCGCACACCTGTAGTTCCAGCTACTCAGAAGGCTGAGGTGGGAGGATCACTTGAGCCTAGGAGTTGAAGGCTGCAGTGAGCCATGGTCATGCCACTGTACTCCAGCCTGGGCAATGGAGCAAAACCCTATCTCAAAAAAAAAAAAAAGAATGAGGTGGATGTCTATGTATTGATGTGGACAAGATTTTAAGACATACTACTGAATGGAAAAGGCAGATTGCAGAATATGTATGATATGATACCATTTATGTATTTTACTTTCTATTTTCCATGTGTATATTTTTGAACATATCTGGGAAGATACATTCCAAAGATATCCCTGATAGTAGGGCCCTATGAGGAGAATTTTCCTGGCAGTGGAAGTAGATCAGGAGAGAATTTAGGCATTTTGATTTTTTACAAGGAGGATATATTTCTATATTGTTTATGTAATTGAGTAAATTGAAATATCATGTAGAAATGCATATGGTATGCACTGAAGAAGTATGTGCTGAATAAGTAAGTGAATGAAGATATATGTGCAATATATAATCCAGAAAAGGCTAGAGGAATATACATAAAAATGTGACAAATCTCGAGTGTTGAGATCCTGAATGAGTTTTATATTTTCCTCTTTAAGTTTTTATTCTTTGCAAGCTTTCTACACTGAGCATTGCATTTGTTAAAACATGTTAGCTAATGTAACAGGGAACCCCCAGAGTGGAGGGTTTTGATACGAGAGCAGCTTCTCACTTATAAAAGAGCCCAGGCCAGGCACAGTGGTTCACGCCTGTAAACCCAGCACTTCGGGAGGCCGAGGCAGGTGGATCGCTTGAGCTCAGGAGTTCAAGACCAACCTGGGTAACATGGTGAAACCTCATCCCTAAAAAACATACAAAAATTAGCTGGGAGTGGTGGCACATGCCTGTTGTCCCAGCTACTCGGGGTGGGGCTGAGGTGGGAGGATCACTTGAACCCGGGGAGGTCGAGGCTGCAGTGAGCCATGATTGTGCCACTGCACTCCAGCCTGAATGACAGAGTGAGACCCTGTCTCAAATAAATAAGTAAATAAAATACTATAAAATAAAAGAGTCCAATATGGGTGTTCTAGGTTGGGGGACAGCTTTCCTCCTCCAGTGATTTGGGAACCCAGGCTCCTCGCATCGTGTGCCTTTCTTATCCAGGGATCTTGCCCCAGGGGACATTTGGCAATGCCTGGGAATATTTTGGATTGTCATAAGGTGGCATGGGGAGGCAGAAGGGCTGCTGGAATCTCGTGGGTAGAGGCCAGGGATGCTGCCAAACATCCTACAACGCACAGCAACCCCCACCCCCATGACAAAGAATGAGCCATCCCAAAACATCCACAGTGCCCAGGCTGAGAAGCCCTCTGGCTTAGGGCCATGGAGTCCTTCTCGCAGCCAGCAGACATGGGAAGGGAGAGGAGAAAACATACCCTTCTTAATTACCTTGGGCTGGAAGATGCACAATCCCTTCTCACTTTGCCACTTAACAAAGCACGTGGCCCCTACTGGGTACAAACTGAGAGACTGTAAACATTTCCATCTCTCTCTTTATGAAGTCCCTTGAAAACCTGTGACCCAGGCTTCAAGGTGAACGCATGAGAAGAAGGTAGAGAGCAACCCCTGAGTTGTGAACTTGTGGCAGTTCCTGGTGGAGGAGTCTTTGGGGAGCCCCCCCCAGGACAGAGTGGACCCCTTTACTGGGTTCCCACCCGCAGCTCAGCCTCTTGCCCTAGGTCTGAGTTGAGCCTCCCATGCCCTTTGGGGTGAGGATCCCTGTCCCTTAAGGGCGTCACCAGCACTGGAGGGATTTGCCCTGACTTCCGGCCTGCCCCTGAGGTTGGTCCTATCAGCTTGGAGCTGGAGTGGTGGGAGGAACCTGCATGTCCCCATGCCTATATCCGGCTGCTGTGTTTCAGGTCTACCCCACGGCAACGCGGGCCCTCGGCCTGGGCACCTGCAGCGGCATGGCAAGAGTGGGTGCTCTCATCACTCCGTTCATCGCCCAGGTAGGTGCTGCCCCCAAATACAGAGGGATGGGGGGTGACAAAACCCCATGCATGGCAAGCAGTTACTACATGCCGACTGTCCCCAGAGCCCTCGGGTTGCATTCGCTCATTTTATCATAACAACACACCCGAGGACAGAAGAAATATTGCCTGCAGATGAGAAAACAGAGGCTCAGGGGCTAAAATGACATGCTCAAGGTCATGCAGCTGGAAAGTAGCCAATCCAGGAGTCAAACCCAGGTCTTCCCTGTGAAGAAAATCCTTGGGCTGCCATATGTTTTGCTTAAAAACAATGTGGATGAAAACAAGTGGGCAATTGTGAGTGAATTAATGCAAGAACAGAAAACCAAATACTGCATGTTCTCTGGGAGCTAGACATTGAATACACATAGACATAAAAATAGGAGTAATGGACACTGGGGACCACTCGACTGGGAAGGAAGGGTGGGAGTCATGGGCTGAAAATTCCACCTATTGGGTACTGGGCTCACTACCTGGGGATGGGGTCATTTGTACCCCCAAACTTCAGCATCATGCAATATATCTGTGTAACAAACCTGCAGTGGACCCCTTAATCTATGATAAAAGTTGATTTTTTTTTTTTTTTTTTGGGATGGAGTCTCGCTTTGTCACCCAGGCTGGAGTGCAGTGGTGTGATCTCAGCTCACTGTGACCTCCGCCTCCCAGGTTCAAGCGATTCTCCTGCCTCAGCCTCCCGAGTAGCTGGGATTACAGGCGTGCACCACCACGCCTGGCTAATTTCTGTATTTTTAGTAGAGACAAGGTTTCACCACGTTGGCCAGGATGGTCTCGATCTCTTGACCTTGTGATCTGCCTGCCTCGGCCTCCAAAGTGCTGGGATTACAGGCATGAGCCACTGTGCCTGGCCAAAAAAATTTTTTTTTTTTTAACAAAAGGAAAGAAGGGTCAGGTGCTGTGTCTCACGCCTGTAATCCCAGCCCTTTAGGAGGCTGAGGCGGGCAGATCACTTCAGGTCAGGAGTTCGAGACCAGCCTGGCCAACATGGTGAAACCCCCATCTCTACTAAAAATACAAAAATTAACTAGGTGTGGTGGCAGGTGCCTGTAATTCTGGCTGAGGCACAAAAATTGCTTGAACCCAGGAGGCAGAGTTTGCAATGAGCCAAAATTGCTCCACTACACTCCGGCCTGGGCGATAGAGTGAGACCTTGTCTCAAAAAGAAAAAAAAAGGAAAGAAAACAAGTATGCCGACAAAATTTAGTGGAAAACAAATAAATATGCCAGTTCCTGCTTTTTGAATTAGATAATTAGACGTCATTGCAGAATTTTGCAACTCTTCGTGTGTCATGAAGCATTTGTATCTAGGGATCTTAGTAAGTCTTTTTGCTTTTTGAAAATCCAGGTTTTTTTCTGTTTGAATCACTTTTTTATTGAGGTAAACGTCACATAACAAAATTAACCATCTTAAAGGGAACAATTCAGTGGCATTCAGCACATTCACAGCGTTGGGCAACCACTGCTTCTATCTAGTTCCAAAACATTCTCATCACCCCAAAATAAACCCCTGGATCCACTAAGCAGTCACTCCTCATTGCCCACTTCCTCTAGGCTCCTGGCAACCACCCATCTGCTTTCTGTAGATTTGCCAAGTCTGAATATTGCAGAGAAATGGAATTTAAAGACGTGTTTAGCCAAGTGTTTCTATTCTACTTTGATTTTAGCCGTTGTGTGGCACTCCTAACTGATGCTGGTTGAGAGCTCACCATGTGCCTCCACGGTGCCAGGTGCTGCCAGGTTCTTCCCATTAGGAAGTGACACCACTCTATGCCCATTTGGCAAATGAAGAAATGGGCTGGGCATGGTGGCTCACAGCTGTAATCCCAGCACTTTGGGAGGCTGAGGTGGGCAGATTACTTGAGGTCAGGTGTTCAAGTCCAGCCTGGTCAATTTGGTGAGACTCCATCTCTCTTAAAAATACAAAAGAATTAGCCAGGCATGGTGGCATATGCCTGTAGTCCCAGCTACTCAAAAGGCTGAGGCAGAAAAATTGCTTGAACCCGGGAGGCAGAGGTTGCAGTGAGCCAAGATTGCACCACTGCACTCCAGCCTGGAGACAGAGCGAGACTACATCTCAAAAGAAAAGAAAATGGGACTCAGCTCTGCCGTGTTGTTTGCCATGTGCCAAAAGCTAGGAAGTTGGCACAGGCACTGCACTGTTCCAGAGGAGAGAAGAGTTATAAGGAGCCCAGACTCAAGCTTAGCAGACCCAAGTTCAAATCCCAGCCCCATCCTTATTATCTGTATGAACTTGGGTAGGAACCACTTATCCTCTTTGAGCCTCAGTTTTCTCCTTTGTAAAATGGGGATGAAGTACTTAGCTCATAGGGCTGTGGCATGGCATCTGTGTTGGTCCGTTTTGTGTTGATTTCAAGGAATACCTGGCTGGGCGTGTTGGCTCATGCCTGCAATCCCAGCACTTTGGGAGGCCAAGGTGGGTGGATCACCTGAGGTCAGGAGTTCGAGACCAGCCTGACCAACATGGAGAAACCCCATCTCTACTAAAAATACAAAATTAGCCGGGCGTGGTGGCAGAAGCCTGTAATCCCAGCTACTTGGGAGGAGAATCGCTTGAACCCTGAAGGCGGAGGTTGCGGTGAGCCAAGATTGCGCCATTGCACTCCAGTCTGGGCAACAAGAATGAAACTCATCTCAAAAAAACAAAAAAAACAAAAAACAAAAAAAAGAATACTTGAGATCAGGTAATTTATAAAGAAGAGATTTATTTGACTCACGATTCTGCAGGCTGTACAAGCATGGCACCAGCATCTGCTTGGCTTCTGGTGAGGCCTCAGGAAGCTTTTACTCATGGAGGAAGGCAAAGGAGGGGCAGGCGTGTCACAAGGAGAGAGAGGGACAAAGGGGGAGAGGAGGGAATCACCAGATCCTTTTTAGCAAGCAGATATCACGAGAGGGCCTGATGTTACTAATACTATTTGATGGTTGGCGATGTCTGTGCTTCAGAAGGGATGCTTTCACCGACCCGTGTCTCCTTCCCCTAGGTGATGCTGGAATCCTCTGTGTACCTGACTCTGGCAGTTTACAGTGGCTGCTGCCTCCTGGCTGCCCTGGCCTCCTGCTTTTTGCCCATTGAGACCAAAGGCCGAGGACTGCAGGAGTCCAGCCACCGGGAGTGGGGCCAGGAGATGGTCGGCCGAGGAATGCACGGTGCAGGTGTTACCAGGTCGAACTCTGGCTCTCAGGAATAGTGACCGATGGGGGACTGAGCTGGTCTTTGAGGCTGCAGAGCTTGGGGGGCTGGCAGGCCCCAACTGGGGCACTGATTGTCACTGCCGACATCAAGAACTCACCCAAGAGTATGACCTGGACCAACAGGGTTTTGTGTCTTGACTCAGTTTGCTCATCTTCATTGAGGTCCACCCAGGGATGGGGAGATGTTTGCTCTAGGGGGTTCTCTGTATATGTGGTGAAAGCTTTGTTCATAACCTGTGGATCTACATGGGAAGACTACCCATATTAGGAGGGTCTGGTAATGCCAGCAACCAATCAGACACCACCCAGAGTCACCCGGCCAAACCCTCAGTGAACAACCAAAATATCTCTCTGTAGATACCGTCCAGGCTCAGGCCCATGTGACACCTGCTGTCCACCCACCGGACCTGTTCAGTAGGTTTCTCCCACACTCACAGCCCCAGGCTTTCTTCTTTGAAATTGCAGGCGATCTAGGTGTGGTCTGAGCAGCTATTTCCTGGCAGGGGCCCCCCGGTTTGCCTCCCTAGAGCCTGACCAGTGGATTCTCTGGCAGATGGACATGGTGCATTCAAACTGGAGCCACATGCCCCCACCCAGCCCCCTCTGGAGTTGCCGTTGTTGGCACCAAGAGATCCAGATGTGTCCCTGGGGACAGCTGGTCTTGCACCAGGTGACAACCTCAGAACGCCGTTACCCCCTGGGAACTGAGGACTGAGGCCAAAGTGAATCAAGCTGAAGTCAGAGCACGGGCCTCCCCTTCTGAAGCAGCGAAGGCCACGGTTCCGACTTCTTTCCTGGCCCCCTCCTTGGTCAGGCTGAATGGTGACTTTTATTGTTTTTTGAGACGGAGTCTTGATCTGTCGCCCAGGCTGGAGTGCAGTAGCGTGATCTCGGCTCACTGCAACTCTGCCTCCCGGGTTCAAGCAATTCTCCTGTCTCAGCCTCCCGAGTAGCTGGGATTACAGGTGCCCACCTGTACTTTTTAGTAGAGACAGGGTTTCACCATGTTGGCCAGGCTGGTCTCGAACTCCTGACCTCAAGTGATCCACCCGCCTCGGCCTCCCACAGTGCTGAGATTACAGGTGGGAGCCACTGCACCCGGCCTGAATGATGACTCTTGAGGGGAAAAAGTTTACTCAGGTTTGCAGGTACAAAATCCAAAATCCAGGGCTTTGGGTTTTGTGCATGGGTAGACAGCTGAATGGGCAGAGAAACCAGAAGGATGCTACACCCACCATCTCATCCCATGGGGATCAGGGGACCAGGATTCCCTGATGCGAAGCTGCTCCTCTGTCCAGGGACGTCTTGATCATTACACAAAGGCAGCCCCTGGAGTTCCATTCATGGAGCCTGCCGTGGAGTGGAGAGGGGTGGGAGGACTCAGGTGTGTGAAATGTATATGTTTTCAAAGGAAGCAGTGGGAGGCCAGTTGGTTTTGAGTTGGTCTCCGCAGGCAACATCACTTCTGGGATTTGGTTTACTGGAGCCTTTTTTCCCATGGTGAAGGCAGGGGACATAGACAAGGAGGGAGGAAGCTGGCAGATCCCATCAAAGGCCAGAGCAGACAGACCTACTGCTTGAAGTAAACATTGCAAGGAAGCCAATTTGTGCGTTCAACTCTTATTAAAACATGTCAGTGATGGACATTGCAAGAGCCTAAGTTTATTCATTGTCATCATGTCCTAGTGACAGTCCAGCCTAACGGTCTGACTACCTTTGTTCATCGGAATTCATCTCAATGCTTTAGTGTGATAATCTCCTTTCCAATGAGTGGGGAAAGACATACCGTTGGCAGCCAACATTGTGGCTGAGCTTGTTGGAGACAACACTTTCTTCTAATGGTGTGCAGGTCATGATGGGGGACTTCTTCCAGCTCAAGTTCTAAATCAACTGCAAACAATACTGTGTCTCTAAAATGTGGGCTGCAGCCCCCTCCGCCCAGGCAGTTGAAGAGGAGATGGCTTGGCAGATCTCTGTCTCTCTCTGACAACCACATTTCCTTGAACCACGTGTGGCTGTAGCTCTAATTATTTCTGGACAGCTGAGCTCTCCTGGGTAACACAGAACTTTTGCTTGTCTCTTTTGCCTTCCGGCTGGTCAGACGCTACTGGATGATCATGTCCGCTCCCTCACCCTAGAATAACCCAGTGGAGCTGGGGGCTGGGGGGGATAGAGTGCTTGGTGGGCAGGAATATTTCCCAGAGACTAGGGTAAAGGGGTTTACAGTTGAGGGCCTTCTCTACTTGAGAAAGTGAAAGTTAAAAACTCCTGCTGGGTATGGTGGCTCATGCCTATAATCCCAGCACTTTTGGAGGCCGAGGCGGGCGGATCACAAGGTCAGGAGATCGAGACCATCCTGGCTAACATGGTGAAACCCCGTCTCTACTAAAAATACAAAAAAAAATTAGCCAGGTGTGGTGGCGGGTGCCTGTAGTCCCAGCTACTCAGGAGGCTGAGGCCGGAGAATGGCGTGAACCCAGGAGGCAGAGCTTGCAGTGAGCCGAGATCGCGCCACTGCACTCCAGCCTGGGCGACAGAGCAAGACTCCATCTCAAAAACAAAACAAAACAAAACAAAAACTCTTTGCCTTGTAAATAGCCTGCCTTTTTCAAAAAAATCAATATTATCAAATGATACAAGAGCTATCACAAAAGGCACCCAAACTTCTGAATATGTGAGACCTTTAGCTGAGAACATTTGTATCTAATTTTGAACAATCCTATTCAAAAAGCTCCTATTTTCGTTAATGGAAATGCCATGTTTCTCTTAGAGTTACGAAAGATCTCAGAAAGTGGCAAAAGATATTTAATGTAGCCAGAGCTATATATTTCTGTTTTTCTCGTACTTCAAGTATTCTGAAAAACATATAACTGACCTTGGTGGTGTTCACAATGGGATGAAACAGTATCTTAGGAATTGACTTTGAAATTAGTATGGAAATTCATTGTTTTTAATATAACATTGAGCAACAGAAAGCCTTGAATGATAAGATCAAGAGTCTCCCCTGCCATTATTTTCAATGGCAAAAACTGCAATTACTTTTTTTTTTTTTTTGAGATGAAGTCTCAGCTCACTGCAACTCTGTCTCCCAGGTTCAAGCGATTCTCCCTCCTCAGCCTCCTGAGTAGCTGGGATTACAGGTGCCCGCCTTGATGCTTGGCTAATTTTTGTATTTTTAGTATAGACAAGGTTTCACCATGTTGGTCAGGCTGGTCTCAAACTCCTGACCTCAAGTGATCCGCCCACCTTGGCCTCCCAAATGCAATTACTTTTGCACCAACCTAAGAACAGTAATCTCAGTCAATAGTGGCTTAAACCATTAGAACCAAAACCAGGCAGAGATCAGAGAAGGTTCAACGCTCAACAATGTTATCAAGAACCCAGCTTCTTTTTGCCTTTTCTTTTCACCATCCTCTGCATGTTGGCCATCTGACCCTGTGCTTGAAACCTCATGGTCACAAAATGGCTGCCCCTGTGCTGGACATCATATTTCTTTTCAAAGAAGGTAGAATGGGAAAGGAGCAGTCATAAAAGGTTTTCTTTCAGAAGAGTCTGTTGGTTTTGGTTAGAAAAGGAAGTCCCCTGGCAGATTTACCATTGCTTCTCATTGATCAGACCTGGGTGTCATGCCCATCCCAGCATGAGTCCTGCTGTAGGGCTGGAAGGAAGGGCCTACGAGCACCAAGGGATACCCACAGCCTCCTGAACACAAAATTGGGATTCTGTTAGCACAGAAGAAGGATAGCAATGGCTGTTGGATGGGCGATGGTTGCAAGGAGCCTGCCGTGGATGTGTAGGCCACAGAGCTCTCATCAGCACTGTTTTCGTGGCCAGGAACAGAAATTCTACTCAGGATAATTAAAATTAAGGAACAGAGCTTTATTATAAGACTGGGATCGGTAGTTAATTTCCTACAGGGGAAATTCAGGGCATGTAAATCAGTGAAATGGAAAAGGTGTAAGGACAAGAGAAACACCAGCCCTGTCTGCAGGGGGGGGCTGCAACTCCCTTCCAGCTGATGTTGTTCCACCATGGGTCCAGTGTGACCAGATCTTACAATGTTCAAAAGAGGAGTCTAGGTTTTTCTGTGAAATCTCCAAATATTAGTATATTGGATCAAAAATGTTCAAATGATGTGTGAGCTCAATAAAATGCATCTGCAGTGCAGCTTTGGTTGATGGGCTGATGGTTCACTCTGACAGTTTAGAGAGATTGCATAGGAATAAAGTACAGCCTGGTGTCATTCAGAGGAACAGGGATCTGGGAAACCACTGGGGCCCAAGACAGCTGCCCCTCTGAATCTGTGGCTCTTGTTTCTTCCCTTTTCTGGCAGAAATGAGTCTAGCTTCCATCTGTTTCCTTGTGGCTGCTGTGTATGCATAATCATGCACAGAGCTTCCATAGCCTCATAACCCAGCTCTGCAAACATACCTGACTCAGCTGCTCAGTGCCCCACTCCCAGATCTTCAGGAATGAAGCTGATTGGCCCAGTTTAGTGTTGGATTGAGTCTTGGTCCAATTCAATTGGGTCAGGAAGAAGTGGTGGAGAGGTACAGACACGGTGGCATTGGCCTGCCCTTTAGCAGGGTGGTGCAGACAATTGCTGGTATGCCTGGAATCTGCAGTGACATGTGCATAAACTCTCAAGTCTATTCATCAGAACTCTCTTACAGATCATAACGTGGCAAGTGGTCAGTATGCATGGAATATCCAGCATGTCCTGGACATGTTATTCAACACTGAGGATGCAAAATATCATAAGACATGGTCCTGGCTGGGTGCAGTGGCTCATGCCCATAATCCCAGCACTTTGGGAGGCTGATGCGGGAGGATCACTTGAGGCCAGGAGTTTGAGGCGGCAGTTCGCTTTGATCGTGCCACAGCATTCCAGCCTGAATGATAGAATGACAGATCCTGTCTCTTAAAAAACAAAACAAAACAAAACAAAACAAGCCAGGTGTGGTGGCTCATGACTGTAATCCCAGCACTTAGGAGGCCAGACGGGAGGATCGCCTGAGCCCAGAAGTTTGAGACCAGCCTGGGCAACATGACAAAACCCTGACTCCAAAAAGAATACAAAAATTAGCCAAGCCTGGTGGTGTGCTCCTGTGGTCCCAGCTACTTGGAGGCTGAGGTGGGAGAATCACCTGAGCCTGGGAAGTCGAGGCTGTAGTGAGCTGTGACCATGCCACTGCACTCCAGCCTGGGTAACAGAGTGAGACTCTGGCTCAAGAAAAATAAAAGAAGAAGGAAGAGGAGGAGAAGGAAGGAGGAGGAGGAGGAAGAGGAAGAAGGAAGAGGAAAAGGAAGAGGAAGAGGAGGAGGAGAAGAAGGAGGAGGAGAAGGAGGAGAAGGAGGAGGAGGAGGAGAAGCAGGAGGAGGAGAAGAAGGAGGAGGAGGAGGAGAAGGAGGAGGAGGAGAAGGAGGAGGAGTAGGAGAAGGAGGAGGAGGAGGAGATATTCCTTATCTTCAAGCTCTCACAGTATACTAGGGAACATGCATGAACACACCACTGTGATACAGTGTGATACGGGTGCTAAGGATGAATGCAGAGAGTGTCGTAGGAGGCACAAGGGATGACAACCCTGAAGCTCTAGAGCATCCTGAAGCACCTTCTGACTCCTCAAGGATTTGGGGGTTTCAGGCAGACTTTGGTCACTGGTGGTACCTTACTATATTTTATATTTGAATATCCACATACATCATATATAATCATTCTCTCTTTTTTGAGATGCTATGTTGCCCAGGCTGGTCTCGAACTCCTAGGCTCAATCGATCCTCCCACATCAGCCTCCCAAGTAGCTGGGATTACAGGAATGAGCCACGGTGTCTGGCAATAATCATTCTCAATTAATCAAGAATATTTTATGATGAACTACTTAAAATGCCCCAACCCCCACCATGCCAGAGAAGAGAGTGCTTTCTAAATTCATCGATAAGAAAACAATTCCACTCCCAAGAGCATCAAAACAAATAAAATACTTAGGAATAAATTTAACAAGTGCAGTGTAAGACCTACAAACTACAAAACATTGCTGAAAGAAACTGAAGATCTAAATAAATGGAGAAACATTTCATATTCATGAATCAGAAGACCTAAATTGTTAAGATGTCAATCCATACTCTCCAAATGACATATAGATTCAACACAATCCCTGTCAAACTTTCTCAGCCAGCTGGCTTATTTTGAAGAAATTGTCAAGCTGTTTTTTTTTTTGTTTTTTTTTTTTGAGACAGAGTCTTGCTCTGTCACCCAGGCTGGAGTGCAATGGTGCGATCTTGGCTCACTGCAACCTCCACCTCCTGGGTTCAAGCGATTCTCCTGTCTCAGCCTCCTGAGTAGCTGGGATTACAGGCATGTGCCACCATGCCCAGCTAATTTTTTGTATTTTTGGTAGAGACGGGGTCTCACCATGTTGCCCCTGCTGGTCTTGAGCTCCTGCCCCCAAGTGATCCACGGGCCTCAGCCTCCCAAAGTGCCGGGATTACAGGTGTGAGCCACCATGCCTAGCCTGTCAGGCTGATTTTAAACTCATACAGAAATGAAAAGGACCCAGAAGAGCCAAAACAAAAGTCTTGAAAAAGAGGAACAAAGTTGGAGGACTCACACTTCCTGATTTTAAAATGTACGAGAATGCTACGGAAATCAAGACAGTGTGGTACTAGCATAAGATAGATCTGTGGAATAGGGTCCAAAAATAAACACATACATTTATTTTTATTTTTATTATGGAGACAGCATCTTGCTCTGTCATCCAGGCTGGAGTGCAGTGGCATGATCACAGCTCACTGCAGCCTCGACTTCCCAGGCTCCAGCGATCCTCCCACCTCAGCCTCCCAAGTAGCTGGGACCACAGGTGTGCACCACCACGCCCAGCTAATTTTTGTATTTTTGGTAGAGACAGGGTTTTGCCATGTTGCCCAGGGTGGTCTCGAATTCCTGAGCTCAAGTGATCCGCCCACCTAGCCCTCCCAGTGTTGGGATTAGAGGCATGAGCCACTGTGCCTGACCAAACCCATACATTTATAGTCAACTGATTTTCCACAAAAGTGCCAAGACGATTCGATGAGGAAAGAATAGCCTTTTCTAAATTCATCAAGCTGCCAAGAATTCACTGAAAATCCAGTTGCAAATTGCCTTCAGGACAGAAGTAGCAGTGTTAGGCAAAGGAAAAGTATAACATATCCTCGAATAACTTATTTCATTACAACCTCGATGAGAAATAAAAAAAAAAAAAATCAATTCCGGCAGGGGCCACTGTCTGTGTAGAGCTTGCACGTTCTCTCCATGTCTACATGGGTGTTCTCCGGGTATCCGGTTTCCTCCCACACCCCAAAGATGTGCATGTGATATTCATTCCTGTTTTTATTTTATTTTAATTAATTTTTTAGGAGACAGAGTCTCGCTCTGTCACCCAGGCTGGAGTGCAGTGGCATGGTCTAGGCTCACTGCAACCTCCACCTCTCAGGTTCAAGCAATTCTTGTGCCTCAGCCTTCCAAGTTGCTGGGATTACAGGCATGTGCCACCACACTCGGCTAATTTTTTAGCCACGACATTAAGTGAAGACTTCCTGTGTAAAAATCAACCACTATAAAATTTACAGAACTATGTGGGTTGCAGGATTTCCCCATGATCCTTCTATTCTTAATTTTAGTATACATTTTCAAGGAGGTTCTTAGCATTTGCAGAAAGAACAAGAGGGTCATTCTGGGTCTGAATGTGGAATCTCGTGTCCCCATACAATTTTGTGAGTTCACTGTGTACTGAGTCCTATAGGATTTCTACTGACAGCTAGCCTTGGCTGGCAGGTAGGGATCATTCTCCCTAGGCCAGGTGTCCCCAACCTTTTTGGCACCAGGGACTGGTTTTGTGGAAGACAATTTTTCCACAGATGGGGTGCTGTGGGGGTGCTGTGGGGGGCAGTGGTAGTTCAGGCATTAGATTTCTCATAAGGGGCTGGGGGTGGTGGCTCATGCCTGCAATCCCAGGAGTTTGGAAGGCCAAGGTGGGTGGATCATTTGAGGTCAGGAGTTCAAGAACAGCCTGGCCAACATGGTAAAACCCTGCCTCTATTAAAAATACAAAAATCAGCCAGGCGTGGTGGCACGCACCTGTAGTCCCAATTACTTGAGAGACTGAGGCAGGAAAATCTCTTGAACCCAGGAGGTGGAGGGTTCAGTGAGCCGAGATTATGCCACTGCACTCCAGCCTGGGTGACAGAACGAGACTCAGTCTCGAAAAACAAAAAACAAAAGCAAAAAAAAAAACAAAAAGCAAATTCTCATAAGGAGCAAGCAACCTAGATCCCTCGCATGCACAGTTCACAATAGGGTTTGCACTCCTATGAGAATCTAATGCCACCGCTGATCTGACAGGAGGCAGAGTTCATGCGGTAATGCTCGCTCACCCACCACCCATGCCCTGCTGTGTGGCCCAGTTCCTAATAGGCCACAGACCATTATCAGTCCATGGCCCGGGGGTTGGGGGCCCCTGCCCTACAGAATTTTAGGCTGGATAAAGAAATCACATTGGTCAAAAACTAAATCCTGGGTCTTACTCCAAGCACCAGGAAGTGCCCTTGCCCTGGGATCCTTGTCAGAGTCCTCTCATCTTGGCCCAAATGTAGCTATGAGGAAGAGAGAGCTAGTTCCTTTTCAGTGTGCTTGCGGAGAGAGTTGAGGAAGAGGCCCAACCGATCCCTTCATAGCTACATATTCCCCACCCCGCCAACACCCCCTGCTCCCCTCCACAATTTGGATTCAGTCTTGTGTGGTAGTTGAAAGTGAAGCACTCGGCCTGGTGCGGTGGCTCACGCCTGTAATCCCAGCACCTGGGAGGCCGAGGTGGGCAGATCACAAGGTCAGGAGTTTGAGACCAGCCTGACCAACATGGTGAAACCCCGTCTCTACTGAAAACACAAAAATTAGCCGGCCATGGTGGTGCGTGCCTGTAATCTCAGCTACTCGTGAGGCTGAGGCAGGACAACTGTTTGAACCCGGGAGGCGGAGGTTGCAATGAGTCAAGATCATGCCACTGCACTCCAGCTTGTGCGACAGAGCAAGACTCTGTCGGGGGCGGGGAAAGAAAGTGAAGCACTGGAATTGCATAATTTCTGAGCCAGAATCTCTATTCTATCGCATCCCAGCTATTGACTTTAGGCTACCTTCCATCCTTTCTCTCTTTTCTTTTCTTTTCTTCTTTTCTTTCTTTCCTTCCTTCCTTCCTTCCTTCCTTCCTTCCTCTCTCTCTCCCTCCCTCCCTCTTTCCCTCCCTCCCTCCCTCTTTCTTTCTTTCTCTTTCTTTTTTTTTTTGACAGAGCCTCACTGTGTTGCCCAGGCTGGAGTGCAGTGGCATGATCTAGGCTCACTGCAACCTCCGCCTCCTAGGTTCAAGTGATTTTCCTGCCTCAGCCTCCAGAATAGCTGGGATTACAGGCACCTGCCAGCACGCCCCGCTAATTTTTTTATTTTTAGTAGAAACAGGGTTTCACCATGTTGGCCAGGCTTGTGTCGAACTCCTGACCTCAAGTGATCTACCTGCCTCGCCCTCCCAAAGTGCTGGGATTACAGGTGTAAGCCACCGCACCCGGCCAGGCTGCCTTTCTCTGCCTCAGTCTTCTCACCTATGAAATGGGATAATAGCTACCTCATGAGGCATGTGTAAGGATTAAATGAGCAATGTTTTGTAAGAGTTTAGCACAAAGTATGGTACCCAGACTGAATATATTAAGTTTTAGCTATAATAATAATTACTGGCTGGGCGCGGTGGCTCATACCTGTAATCCCAGCACTTCGGGAGGCCAAGGCAGGTGGCTCATGAGGTCAGGAGTTCACAACCAGCCTGGCCAAGATGGTGAAACCCCATCTTTACTTAAAATACAAAAATTAGCCAGGCAGGTTGGCGGGCGCCTGTAATCCCAGCTACTCTGGAAGCTGAGGCCGAGAATTGCTTGAACCTGGGAGGTGAAGGTTGCAGTGAGCTGAGATTGCGCCACTGCACTCCAGCCTGGGCGACAGAGTGAGATTCCGTCTCAAAATAATAACAATAATAACTGTTGTTGTTAGGATTGATGTCTACCTTAAATCTCGGCTCTCTCACCCTACTTAGACTAGGCTTGGCCAGCATCATGGCAGGTGCTTCATGAAACAGCCCTCATGGAAATGGCAGGGCATGGCAGGAGCCAACTGAGACCTCTTCACAGCACACGGGGCACTCCTGGGCCAAGATGCACGAGGCTTCCTAGGCTCTGGCCTGTCACAGAAACCCAGACAGGTGAAAATCGACCTCAGAGGCTGAGGCTGGTAATTAGGGATGAAGATGCTATGGGGTCTCCCAGGCTCATTTAAGGCTTTCAAAAACATCTGGGAGCTTGTTTGTCATTTCCGAGGGTGCCAGCCCAAAGACAAGAGAGATGTTAAATTGCCCCCCAAAAAAGGAGTATGCTTGGTGAGTTTAGTTCTTGCTATTGCTTAAACGTCCCTGCCAAAACTCACGTTGAGACTTAGTCCTTAGTCCACCACCTTAGTGGTGGTCTGGAGAGGTGGCGCCTTTAAGAGGTGATTGGATCCTAAGAGCGCTGCTCTCATAAATGGATTAATCCATTTATCAATTAATGGGTTATTAGGTTAATGGATTAATGGGTCATCTTGGGAAGGAAAATGGTGGCTTTCTAAGACAAGGGACAGAGCTGAGCTAGCACATTAGCACAATCAGCCCCCTCACCACGTGATGCCCTAAGCCTCCCTGGGACTCTGCAGAGAGTCCCCACCTCTGCACCAGCCAGAGAGAAGGCTCTCACCAGATGTGGCCCCTCAACCTTGGACTTCTCAGACTCTATAACGGTAATAAATAAATTCCTTTTCTCTATTAATTCCACAGTTTCCGCCAGGCGTGGTGGCTTATGCCTATAATCCCACCACTTTGGAGGCTGAGGCAGGAGGATCACTTGATCCCAGGAGTTCAACGCCAGCCTGGACAACATGGCCAAACCCAGTCTCTACAAAACACTCTCTACAAAACACACACACACACACACACACACAAAATTAGCTGGGCATGGTAGCAAGCGCCTGTAGTCCCAGCTACTCGGGTGGCTGAGGAGGGAGGATCATTTGAGCCTGGGAGGCGGAGGTTGCAGTGAGCCAAAATCATGCCACTGCACACCAGCCTGGGTGACAGAGTGAGATCCTGTCTCAAAAAAAAAAAAAAAAAATCTCCAGTTTCAGATATTCTGTTATAAGCAACAGAAAATGGACTAAAACAGTTCTCTATGAAGGGGTTCCTTGTGGGATGATCCCTCCAGTGGCCCCTCCTCAAAGGTTACGTGGTGCTCATGGGGCCACTCGGTGAATAGCTGATGCCATTTGGAATTCTAGATGTGGAACAAACACCATGTGTTACTAGTTCAGTGCCTCACCTCTCTGCCCTCTCCACACCCCAGTTGTATGTATAACCTCCTACAACAAACACAACAGATACAACAAAATCTGTTCCAGCATTTTCTCAGATTTGTGTCATGGCATTCATGGGTGCTCTGGGCAAAAGAGTTCCATAGCCAGATAGGTTTAGCAAGCACTGGGTTAAACAACATCAGATAGTTGTCTTTGCTGCAGGACTTTTCAGAACCTTTAATATGTTAGTACAACTTGTAATCAGGTTACTTAGCCTCAATTATCCTCCATTTTCTGTGGCTCTGGGCAGTTGGCCTCTTTGATTTTCTGAGCTGTCCTTTCTTCTGAAGACTCATGGAATGACAGCCTCAGCTGTTCTTTATAATGCCAGACCCAGAGAAGGTAGAGGGATTTCAGTGATGAGAGGGGCCCCATGTTGGGCTGAACCCTTCTCCAGGCACTGACTTTGTGGCTTTCTCTCACCTCATGCTTCTTTGAGGAAAGAAGTGAGGGAGAAGCAATGGCTTATGAAGGAGCACATTGATTCATTGGCTGAGGGGAGAAGGGAGTTCTTGTGGGGGGAGGCAGCAGTCACTGGAGTCTTCAGAGGTGGGATGGTGGCATTCTGGACAATTTCTTTTCTTCCAGGATTCTCCCAAAGAGCTTGGCTGCCTCCAGGGCACATCCCCAGTGGATGGTGAGCCCGTAGCCTCCATGGCCATAGTTGTGGATGACCTAGGAGAGGCAAGAGAGAAGGTGGCCAGGTCCGAGAGGGACAGTGGAAAGAATAGATGAAGCTCTTCTGCCCTGGAAGACTCAGGAGCCTCCCGAAGAGTCCTGGGCAAAGCCAGATGCCACCTGAGCTTCTCTTGGCACCGGGGTGGAATGGTGGGGACCCCCTGGAACAGTTGCAAGAGATGATGGGGCAGCCACAAAATGGATATCTGGAAATAGCCTTGGAGTCAAATTCAAATCACATCCCAGCCCTGCCTTCCACCAGTGGTCTGACTTGGGCAAGTGACTTCACCTCTTAATTCACCCCAGTTTCCTCATCCGAAGCATAGGGAGAACTGTCCCTATCCCAAAGAGCTCCAGAGGAGATTTAATAAGGTCATTCATGTAATGGACTTGCTGCTGTGTCTGACACGAAGTACACATCCAGTAAGTACACATTTTCCTGTTATTTGACCACAGACTTTAGAAAACCAACCCCATTCACCATTTCACCACCATCATTAACACTGCCATTGATACTGTCATCTCTGCCACACGATTAATATTGCCAATGAGACAGTTAGTGCAGCCATGTTAACACTGCCTTTGAGATCGTCACCTCTGCTGTGGTACTAACATACTTGATAGTGTCATTTCCATCAGCACCAGCTACCATCCCCACTCCCAGTCACACCATTATCAACATTGATCTCATCAGCACCACCTCCATTAACATCACCACTGCCCCTCTATGTAACCTTGAGCAGGTCCTTAACCATCATTGAGCCTCAGTTTCCCCATTTATAGAGGAGGGGATATTAGCCACCACTGCCCCTGCCTGCTATGGAGCCTGTGTGGAACTTGAGATCAGACATGACTGTTCCCTGAAAATGCCAGAGCCATCTGAGGAGTGGAAGAGGGCATTACTTTCCTTGCCATGGGAGCATACCTCTGTGTTTGAAGGTCCAGTGCGAAGCTGTTCTCTTTCTAGCCGAATCTGGGGGCGTACTGGCCGGAAGCCAGTTCGTTCACCAATAATTCTTGCATTCTGGAAAGAAAAGTGCTGATCACTCATTTCTGGATTTTTTTTTCCTGCTGCCATTTTTAGGTAGTAGGGAGTTAGCTTTTAGAATCTCATCACCACCACCACTAATATAATCACAGTCATCTTTATCAATCACCACTACCACCAACACCATCTTTATCAGCTACCAACATCATTACCATTACTGCTTCCACCTTTCCACCAATTCCATCATCAACCACTACCCTCACCATCAGCCACCACCATAATTTTAACAACTGTCACCACCTTATCACCATCACTATTACCATTCTCAGCATTTTCCTCACCATCAGTACCAACTCATCCTCATCACCATCACTACTGTCATCATCACTCGCAGACAAATGTGAAAACCAAGGGCTCTCAGCCATGGCCAGACAGGATTCATTAGCCCATAGCAAGAACTTCCCTGTACATTATCAAATTCTGTTATGTTCCACATCCCTTGCTGGAATTAATTTGCCCAGTTATCCCAGCGGTGGCATCTTCCCGTCCTGAAGTGTCCTCATTACCAAGCTCCCACGACCTTGGTTTAGGGCACTGCTACTCCTCCCTACCTTACCTTCAGTGTGGGCTCCAGTCTGCAGCAGCCTTCCCAAATGGTGTTGTGGTCCTGGATATTGTTTAGTTCACTCCAGTTTCCCAACTGGAAGATGCCTCCAAGAGTAACTGTCTGGGTCCTAGATACAAATGAGGAGGGTCAAGGATGAAGGAAAATGAAGGCTCTGAGATGAATAAAGGTCATTACCATCAACCTTGTCACCTCTGCTAACACCACCACCATCACTACCTCAATTGCCACTGTCATCACCATCAACACCAACAACGAACTCTTCCATCACCACTTCCATCAATGTTGTCATCTCCATCAACAACATTGTCTTTGCTACTATCATTAATAGGTCATCACCACCAACTGCATTCATCATTTCACCACCACCACTAACATTGCCATTGATATTGTCATCTCCACGACACCAGTAACATCGCCATTGAGATAACATGGTTGGTGCAACCATGTTATTAACATTGCCTTTGAGACTGTCAGCTCTGCTACAGTATTAACATCATTGATAGTGTCATTTCCATCAGCACCAGCTACCATCCCCACTCCCAATCACACCTTCATCAACATTGATCTCCTCATCAGCACCAGACCACCTCCATTAACATCACCACTCTACAACTCTTACGCTAATCACCACCCCCATGAACGCTGTCTTCCCCATCAATACAATATTATCCCTAATACCACCATTCCGCTATCAACAATATTGTCATCCCATGAACACCACCACTGGTTTCAGTGACATTGTCATCTCCACCGTTAACATTATCATCACCATCAGCCCCAATCACCATTCCCATTCCCACTCCCATTATTGCCATTCACACCACTTTTTTTTTTTTTTGAGATGGGGTCTCGCTCTGTGGCCCAAGCTGGAGTACAGTGGTGTGAACATGGCTCACTGCATCCTCAACCTCCCAGGTTCAAGCAATCCTCCCATCTCAGCCTCTCGAATAGCTGGGACCATAGGCATACACCATCACGCCCGGCTAATTTTTGTATTTTTGTAGAGACGGGGTCTTGCCATGTTGCCCAAGCTGGTCTTGAACTCCTGGGCTCAAGAAATCCTCCCACATTGGCCTCGCAAAGTGCTGGGATTACAGGCGTGAGCCACCTACATACCACTTTTAGTGTCACCACATTACATCCACTGCCTTTGTCTCCAGCATCACCACTATTGTCATCCAAAAGAATGTTCACGGTAGACCTCAGTCGAGGCTGAGTCTGCCTTCCCAGGGATTCAGTAGCTCAAACTCACTAAAAACATTGAAAGGGGCCAGGCACGGTGGCTCACGCCTGTAATCCCAGCACTTTGGGAGGCAAGGGTAGGTGGATCACCTGAGTCAGGAGTTCAAGACCAGCCTGGCCAACATGGTGAAACCCTGTCTCTACTAAAAATACAAAAAATTAGCTGGATGTGGTGGTGGGCACCTGTAATCTCAGCTACTTGGGAGGCTGAGGCAGGATAATTGCTTGAACCTGGGAGGCAGAGGTTGCAGTGAGCCAAGATCGCACCATTACACTCCAGCCTGGGCAATAAGAGTGAAACTCTGTCTCAAAAAATAATAATAAAAAATAGCTAAGTACATAAAAACATTGAAAGGGAACAACTGCAGGGAGTAAGGAGCTTGGGGGAGGCAGCAGGGTCATGAAGAGGGCATGAAGGGGACCACTCTTCTGCCCGAGAACAGTCCAATTTTACCCTGGGATGATGTACGGGGAATTGTAGATGCCTCTCTCTGGGTCATGGGTGAGAATGAAGTGCTTCATCCAAGGGGCGTCCACCTGTTGATTCAGGGCAGGAAAGTCTCATCAGCGGAGGTGAGTCAATGTGGCTGCCCTTGCTCCCCTCTGTGGCCAGATGTCCTGACAAGAGTGGCCAGGCTGATTCCTTATAAGACCTCTCATGACACTATGGCCCAAGTCTGCACCTGACTGCTTGCCTCTTGCAGGAAGAGCTGCCCTAATTGGCAGCCACCCCTGCTCCCTGAAGCATTGTTTCTCCTCACCCACATGTCCGAAGAAAAGCACCAGTACACACATGTAAATGCATACACATGAGAAATAAAAATAAAATTCTAAGTCCCCAACCGACTGAACAGACCCCCTCTTGGCCCCAGGAGCCCCAGAGAAACCTTGGAGCTGAGTTCACAGCTGCGGGGGGAAGGGAGGTCCGACACGTCTCATTATATCCCCTCCCTCAATGACCTGACCAAAGTTAGGCTTTCTTCCCTAAGGGGTAAGCAGAAACCAGCCCTTTCAACAGACTCCACACTGATAACATCAATGACAAGCTTATCTTCCCAGATACAGAACTTCCTCCATTCCTTTTTCCTTCAAACCTTCAATTTTTTTTTTTTTTTTTTTTTTTGAGACAGCCTCGCTCTGTTGCCAGGCTGGAGTGCAGTGGTGTAGTCTCGGCTCACTGCAGCCTCTGCCTCCCGGGTTCAAGCGATTCTCCTGCGTCAGCCTCCCGAGTAGCTGGGATTACAGGCACCTGCCACCACACCCAGCTAATTTTTTGTATTTTTAGTAGAGATGGGGTTTCACCACGTTGGCCAGGCTGGTCTCGAACTCCTGACCTCGTGATCCACCTGCCTCAGCCTCCCAAAGTGCTGGGATTACAGGTGTGAGTCACCACGCCTGGCCCAAACCTTCATCTTATGTAAAATGTAGATTTACTGGGCACTAACTAAAGTTTCACAAGTATGCAATCATTCTCTCGCTGCTACACCCTTCTCTCACTTTTTTTTTTTAAAGAAAATGTATAAAGACTAAATCTCCTGAGAACCTCTTTGGAAAAAGGAGTCACAGGTGCATCTGTGACTCGCGTTTTTCCTGGGTGCGCCCTCAAGCTGGCTCCATAAACCTCGATGATTTGAGACTTATGCTTCAGTCACTCATTTGGTTGTTACACCCATCAGCCCACATTAGGAACACACACACGCACCCCTACACACAGAAGCACACACACCTGCACACCTATGAACATTCACAGGTGCACATGCACACACACACCCTCAGACACACACCCTCACACACATGCACACACACACCCTCACATGCATCCACACATATACCCCTCACACACATGCATGCACACACACCCTTACATACATGCACACACCCTCACACACATGCACACACATACCCTCACACACATGCATACATACTCTCACACACACACACCATCACACACGTACATACACTCTCACATGCGCACACACCTTCACACACATGCACACACACATACCCTCACATGGTGTGCATGCACGCACACCATCACACATATGCACATACACCCTCACATACATGCACAATCACCCCCACATACGTGCACACACACCGTCACACATATGCACACACCCTCACACACATGCACACACACCCTCACATATGTGCACACACCATCACATATGCACACACCCTCACACACATGCACACACACCCTCACACATGCACACACACCCTCACACATGCACACACACATATGCACACATACCCTTACATACACACACACACATACATGCACACACACATACCCTCATATGCACACACACAGCAAGAGGAGGCATGGAACAATGCTTGCACGCACAGGCTCTTAAGCCAGGTTGCCTGGATTCCAATCCCAATTGCACTGCGTACTACCGTGTGAACTTGTGCCTGTTACTTAACTCCTCTGTGCCTCAATTTCTTCATCTGTAAGATGACAATAACGATATGGTAGTACCCAGCTCGAAGGGCTGTGGCCATCACTAAATTAATTAACACAATAGGCTGAGCGTGGTGGCTCACGCCTGTAATCCCAGCACTTTGACAGGCCAAGGTGGGGGGATCACTTGAGCCCAGGAGTTTGAGACCAGCCTGAGCAATATGGTGAAATCCTTTCTCTACAAAAAATAAAAAAATTGGCTGAGCATGGTGGTGGCATGCGCTTGTAGTCTCAGCTACTCAGTAGGCTAAGGTGGGAGCCTGGGAGGTCAAGGCTACAGTGAGCCATGATCAAGATACTGCACTCTAACCTGGGCAATGGAGTGATACCCTGTCTCAAAAATAATAATAACAATGATAATAATAATAACACAATTAATAATTAATAATAATAATAAACACAATAAAGTGCTTAGGACTGTATCTCGCGCTTGGTAAACACTCTAATGTTTGCTATTTTTATTGCAATACAGGCATATGCTGCTCCCACATAGGTACAAGCGCATACATGCATGCTTCACGATCAAGAGGAAATCCTGAAAGAGAGCAATGGGGGTGGGACAGGTTTGTTTTTTTTACATGTCAATTCCCTGCAGTCCGGGGGGTTCCTCTAACAGATGTTCCTGATTTGTCCATGATCTTGAGGGATGAAATAAGCATGCAGAATGATCTTCCTATTAACAAAAGGTAGGGGTCTCACCCTCACACTCACCTTCATGATCTGCCCCCGGCCTGGCTGCAGCAGGGGGTCTCGTTGTAGCGCCCCAGCCCATACCCCAGTGCAGTTGACAATCACGTCTGCGCCTTCTCTTGCCACCTGGTAGCAACCAACAGGGTAGTGGGGGATGAAAGGTGGGGAAGACCCTGGTATTCCCTGTTCTCTCTTCCCCTTTCTTCTACCCTCAATCTGTCTACTCCCTGATGAACAGTGGGGAGAGGTCTCAATGAGGAATCAGAGGGGCCTGGCTTCAAATTTTCATACTGCCATTTATCTGACGTGTGACCTTGAAAATGTCTGGTTACCTCCTTAATTCTCAGCTGCCCCTGTAAAATGAGGCTGCCCATGGCTGTTCATAGGCTGTTATGAGGCTCCTGCACAACTCTGAATATAAAAGTGGTTGTAAAACAGTTCTTTGGATGGGGGAAATCTTCCTGGAACCTCCCAAAAGAAGTCAGAAAGGAAGCAGAGAGAGTTCTCTTTCTCCTTCTGACTCCTTTTAACTTTATTCTCTTGCCTTCTACTCTGCCAAGACATTTGCAGAAGACACGTTGGAACCCCAGCTCTGTCTACAGATGAGATGATCTCATCTCAAGCACGCATCGTGAGCCCCTAAGCTCCCCAACCCAGCCCCAGTGACTCTCACCACGAGTAAGTTAAGGGACACACACATTGCAAGACGCTACTATTGTTCCTGAGTGAATGACTGAGAATGAGGACTGCATTGGGTCGACCATGTATCTTCGGTGTCCATCAGGGCCTGACCAGAGCAGGTTAGTCTTCATGACATAGCACTAGTAGCTACATGTACGGAGCGCCTTCCTTGTGCCAAGCAGGGTTTTAGATGCTGGGATTGAATGAAGCCATACAGTAAAGCTCTTTTTGCTGGTGCCTGGAGATGGTGGCTTTTCCTGTCATTATTATTGGTGGTGGTGCTTCTTTAGAGGTGAGTCAGCTGAGGGCCTGGACTTTGCAGAAAGACCAACACAGATGTCGGTAGGGCTAGGAAGCAACCAAGTTCTGACCTTGGAGTGCAGCTGACACTGAGAAAATGCGGCCAGCTCTCTAGACCCAAAACTCATTGAGTCTCAGATATAAATCAGCTCCTAATGGCCACCATGATCCCAGTGTTCCTTTGTTCCCACTACCAACATGAAGGCAGAGACTTCCTCCTTCAGAATACCTGAGTGCTTCTGGGGCAAGGGTCTGAGGCAGGCCTGTGGGGACCCTAGGAGCCTGAGAAGGGAGCCCCCGACTCAGCAGCAAGAAGCAGAGGCCTCCCCTCTTCTCCCTGCCCCATCCACCGCATCAGCCCTGCAACTCACCTCCTCAAAAGACTCCACTTTCCGCTGGAAGAACTTCACTCCCCTCTCAGTTAACCTGGGATGATCAAACACATCAAAAAGCCCAGTATTCAGCTATCTGCCCCATCCCACCAAGAGGGTGGCACAGGGACCTTTCCCAAACAACCTTCTGCGGACGTTAGTTGCACAGGATGCTGCTTGAGAAGATGGCTGTGTCATCAAATCAGCTCATGAGCACCTACTGGACTGGTGGTCCACAAAATCTCCTTTGAGAAACCAGAGATGGTCCAAGCCCCTTGTTGGGCAGATGGAGTGGGGGAAGGGCCTTGCTGAAGGCCATAGAGTGAGTCAATGATGGAGTTGGAACTCAAACCCAGGCCTCTTAGCCCCCAGCACTTCCTATGACCACCACATTGCTTTGTAACAGCAAAGGCGATGAGATTCAGAGTAGAGAAGGGGAGAGTTGTACCAGTGCCAAATTCCCCTTTGTCAGAAGCCGGGCATGAGGAGGGAGGTGGGCTGAGGACATCCACCCTCCTTTTAAACATCCCATAGGAAAAACATCTATCACGATTAGAAATACACTAGAAACAGCGAGGCGCGGTGGCTCACGCCTGTAATCCCAGTACTTTGGGAGGCCGAGGTGGGCGGATCACGAGGTCAGGAGATTGAGACCATCCTGGCTAAGACGGTGAAACCCCGTCTCTACTAACAATACAAAAAAAAAATTAGCCAGACGTGGTGGCAGGCGCCTGTATTCCAAGCTACTCGGGAGGCTGAGGCAGGAGAAAGGCATGAACCCAGGAGGCGGAGCTTGCAGTGAGCCGAGATTGCGCCACTGCTCTCCAGCCTGGGTGACAGAGCAAGACTCTGTCTCAAAAAAAAAAAAAAAAAAAAAGAAGAAAGAAAGAAATACACTAGAAACATCCAAAGAACAGGAAATAAGCCAAAAAGAAGGTGAAGCATACCCTTGGAACTATCTCATTTCCATCATTTCCTCAAGATAGAAAAACATCTTGAGGGCATGTTTTTCCTGGAAAAGACTGGACAAGGGTCATGTGTCCCCAGGTTAGGAGAAATAGCCATGTCTTAGTACAATGATTCCCAAACATGGCTGATAATTAGAATCGCCAGGAAGCTTCTTAAAATGCAAATTTTTGCTAGGCCTGTTTGCTCACGCCTGTAATCCCAGCACTTTGGGAGGCTGAGGCAGGAAGATTGCTTGAGCCCAGGGGTTTGAGACCAGCCTGGGCAACATAGTGAGACCCTATCTCTACAAAAATATTTAAAAATTAGATAGGCATTGTGGCACATGCATGTGGTCCCAGCTACTTTGGAGGCTGAGGTGGGAGCATCACTTGAGCCCAGGAAGTTGAGGCTGCTGTGAGTTGTGTTCATACCACTACATCCCACTCCAGCCTGGGTGACAAAGTAAGATTTTGTCTCAAAAAAATGAAAAAAAGCAAATTTATGAACCTTATCCCAGAAGTTCTAATTCAGCAGGTATAGAGTGGGGTCCTAAAATCTACATTTAAAAAAAATCTTCTGAGGTCATCTGATAAAAGCCACTATATATTCCATATTTTTTTAATCTTTTTTTTTTTTTTTGAGACAGGGTCTCGCCCTGTCACCCAGGCTGGAGTGCAGTGGCATGATCACAGCTCACTGCAGCCTCTCCTTCCCGGGATAAAGCCATCCTCCCACCTCAGCCTCCTAAGTAGCTGTGACTACAGGCATGCACCATTATACCTGGCTGATTTTTGAATTTTTCTGTAGAGACAGGGTTTTGCCATGTTGCCCAGGCTGGTCTTGAACTCCTGGGCTCAAGTGATCTGCCCACCTCGGCCTCTCAATGTGCTAGGATTACAGGTATGAACCACCATGCCTGGCCTAAAAATCTTTAAAAAACAGTAATATATAAAAAATGTATGGAATCAGGCTGGGCGTGGTGGCTGACACCTGTAATCCCAGCATTTTGGGAGGCCGAGGCGGGCAGATTACGAGGTCAGGAGATTGAGACCATCCTGGCTAACATGGTGAAAACCCATCTCTACTAAAAATACAAAAAATTAGCCAGGTGTGGTGGTGGCAGGCACCTGTAGTCGCAGCTACTCAGGAGGCTGAGGCAGGAGAATGACATGAACCCAGGAGGCAGAGCTTGCAGTGAGCCAAGATCGCACCACTGCACTCCAGCCTGGGTGACAGAGCGAGACTCCATCTCACACACACAAAAAAGGTATGGAATCTCCCTTAATATGAATGTATGTGAATATAAATACCAATGTATCTCTCAAGTGAGTGTTTGCTAATTTAGAACACTGCAAGATTCCTATTAACATGAGGAACAAGTCAAAGCCATCCACTATCATCTGTATGAGTAACATTGTTCTAGAGGTATTGGCCAAAGCAGTTAGAGAAGAAAAAAAAAGAGAGAGGGAGATAAAAATAAAAGGCAGCTTATGTTTTGCAGATGATGTAAATGTATCTGGAAACCTTAAAAGAATACATCTAAAACTATTACACAAACATTAGGGATTTGAAAGAGGTTGTTAATGGACATCATGTGTAAACAGCTGCCCAGGTGGTTCTGATGCTCAGCTAGGCTCAGGATCCATTGCCTCTGTGCCCAGCGGTGATCAGGACCAAGGATAGCTCCCACACCAGGCCTAAGGGTATTCTTCAAACCTGGGGGTTAGTCCATGCTGAGGGAAGCCCACGAACCATCTTCCACTACAACTTGGTCTCTGGGAGGTACCTCCCTCAAAGTGAAGCTTAAAATCTCACCTTTCAGTCAGCCACTGTAGATAGTTCTTTCCCTCCAGAATTAGGCTTGTGTGGAACCAGCCATAGCTAGAGTCACAGTAAGCAAAAGGTGGAAATAAAGGTAAAAATCAGAGCTATATTTGAAGGCTGTGAAATGGAGGTGGGAGCAATGTTGTTCTGTGGGCCCAAAGGGTAGTGCCAGGACCACTACGTGAAGTTCAAGGGGGGACGTGGTTTTGAGCTCAATGCAAGGAAAATTTTTCTATCAGAAAAGGCCATATCTGACATTGGAAAATGCAAGTGGAGATTGAATGTGCATTCGTAGAGGGGATTCAGGTGTGGTGTGGGGTGGGGTGAGGAGAAGACCAGAGAGGCATCAGGCTGTAGAGAAAAGAAAGGAGGGGTGTGGGGTCATACAGACTGGTTGGAATCCCAGTTTGGCCACTTGGCTGTGTGACCTTAGGAAGTCACTTAGCCTCTCTGAAACTCAGTATCTTCATCTACAAAACAATATGGTGATATGGAGCTTCTGGGCTTGAGATCTGTGATTTCATACCCCCTACCTTCCCAGCCCAAGGCCAGGTTTGAGTGGGTAGCCTCTCTGAAGGAGCTGGACCAAGGACCAGGAGACCAGGGTACCAGGGCCTGGGTAGGACAGGAAATCTGGTGCCTCTACCCTCTGCTGCCTTCTGGACAGGTCTGCTAACTCGTCAGGCCCCAGTCCCCTTTGCCTGTGACAATAAACTCACCCGTAATCTGGGAACATATCCAGCTCTCTGGGGGTCAGCTTCCGAAATCCCAGAACTGTGTCCTTCCAGGAAGGGTCCTGAAGAGGAAGGACAAAGGGGGCACTGGGTGGGATGGAAGTCAATAATAATGATAATGGGCCAGGCGAGGTGGCTCACACCTGTAATCCCAGCACTTTGGGAAGCTGAGATGGGTGGATCACCTGAGGTCAGGAGCTCCAGACCAGTCTGGCCAACATGGTGAAACCCTGTTTATACTAAATAATAATACAAAAATTAGCAAGATATGGTGGTGCATGCCTGTAATCCTAGATACTCAGGAGATTGAGGCAGGAGAATTGCTTGAATCTGGGAGCTGGAGGTTGCAGTAAGCCGAAATTGTGCCGCTGCACTCCAGCCTGGGCCACAGAGCGAGACTTCATCTCAAAAAAAAAAAAAATGATAATGACAGAGACTTATGTAATGCTAAGTGCATATAAGGCACTGTTCCAAGCATTTTCTTATACTGGTCCATTTAATCTTCACAAGAAGCCATTGGGGTGGATGCTATTCTTTCCCCAGTTTACAGATGGACCAATTGAGGCTTAGAAAGATTAAATAACTTGTCTAAGATTACACAGCTAATAAATGGTGGTGTTGGGATTTTAACCCATACAGCTTAGTTCCAGAGTTCATGTTCTTAACCCCTATTTATGGTAAGGGTAAGAGTAAGACCGAGGGTGAGTTATAGGGGAAAAGTCAGAAATAGGGGAGAGAAAGCAGAAACAGTGAGAGTCCCCGGGGATGAGAGAAAGCAACAGAGCATAGTGTCAGACAACAGAGCATAGTGTCAGAGACCCCAGCCTCATCACTTGCTACTTGAATTCTCTGAGACTCAGTTTCCTTGTCTGTATCATGGAGTTAATAATCACTCTTGGCCGGGTGCAGTGGTTCACGCCTGTAATCCCAGCACTTTGGGAGGCCAAGGCAGGCAGATCACTTGAGGTCAGGAGTTCGAGACCAGCCCGGCCGTCATAGTGAAACCCCATCTCTTAAAAATACAAAAATTAGCCAGGCGTGGTAGTGCGCACCTGTAATCCCAATTACTCAGGAGGCTGAGACAGGAGAATGGCTTGAACCCAGGAAGCAGAGGTTGCAGTGAGCCGAGATCATGCCAATGCACTCCAGCCTGGGCAATACAGTGAGACCCTGTCTCAAAAAAAAAAAAATACTCTTGGTCCCATGAAAGGTAACAGATAATGTGGATAAAGCCCTTAGCACAGTGCCAAAGGTTGAATGAACCTTGAGAGCTGGCACGGGGCTCTGGGCACAGCGCCAGACCACCCTCTCCAAGGAGCCTGAGCAAACCGTCCCAGGGCTGTGCTGTTCCTGTTAGCACACTGGACACCATGGAGTCACAGATGGCCTGGGTTCAAATCCCAGCTCTGCCACTGGCGAGCTCTGTGGCCTTGGGCAAGTTACTCCATTTCTTGGAGCCTCCGTTTTCTCATTTATTAAGTGAGGATAAGGACAGCCCTTACCTCCCGGTTATAAAGAGAATTAAATTAGTCGCTAGCTGTAAATTAGTTAGGACTGGACCTGGCACATAATAAATGCTTTGGCAGTTTTTGCTTTGATGAGTATTTTATTCCTTCTTGATAAAAAGCCTTGGGACCTTCAGGGGCACTTGAAACCTTTTGGCTTCAGCACCAAGTGCCCGTCACTGCAGAACATGTTTGTATTTTAGCCATGCTAATCAAAGGCTAGTTTCCCCTGGGCATCAGAAGATTCTTTGTCCTCTGCCAATTTAACAGCAAAATGTAAAACAAAAATAATTTTCAAAGCAAAAATAGAATTTAAACCAAACCTGTTTTGAACCCAGGAGTCTGTTGCCTACGAGACTCAAAGCACCCCGCCCTCATCTGTGATTAAGGCTCTGCTGCACCCACCCTCACTACCCCAGCCCTGGGTGCTCATCCCTCATGGTCAAGAACTGTTCACCCACCGGAATGGCTTCATGGAAGAGGTTGTAGCCCGAGATTAGGAACAGGCCCAGGTTTTCAGCGTTGGGAGAATGGACATGGCTCAGGAGATAGTCAAAGGTCTGTTGGCTCCAGTCCCTGGAAGGGTCATGAAGAGTTCGATCACCCAATGCCCTGAGCTGGGCAAAAAACCTTAGGTCAGCTGGCATGGGGCTGTGGCATGATCAGGAGCTTGGGGTGTGTCCAAAACCCAGAAATCCACCACGTTCACTCCTGCAACTCCCCAAATGCCTTGGGTCTTCTCCCTCCTAAATTTTCCAATATTTCCCCATTAATAGAATAAAGAAGAGAGGGAATGAAGGATGCCCCATCATAACCATATGGAGTGCACCTCCAGCATGGGATTACATGGCTGATGAGTTTCAGTGAAGTCCTTGACCTGGCTTTGGGGATTATGAGCCACACTGTTCAGTCTGGCTGCAAGCACCCCTCCTTGTAAACACTGGTGGCAGACATCGACTTGCCGCTCCTACAACTTTTCCTCCTCCCCCTGGGCACACAGCTCACCTACATTTCCTAGACCCTCTCGCAGCTAAATGTGACTGTGTGACTTGTTTCTGGCCAAGGGACTCTAAAGACTCTGCACGTGTGGTCCTGCATGATCCTTCTGCAGTCACCAGCCCATGTGAATGGTGACATTGAGGTGACCTCAAAAGCACGTGGAAAAACGGCAGAGCCATTAGATGGAAGGAGCCTGGGCCCCGAATCACTGCCCACTGATCAGAATCATTGGTTTTTTACAGCTGTGTGAATTAAAATTCTGGCTGGTTGCAGTGGCTCATGCCTATAATCCCAGCTCTTCAGGAGGCTGAGGCAGGAGGGTCACTTGAGGTCAGGAGTTTGAGACAAGCCTGGGTAACATAGGAAGACCCTGGCTCTACAAAAAATAAAGAAAATTATCCAGGCATGATAGCATGCATGTGTGTCCTCGCTACTTGGGAGGCTGAGGTGGGAGGATCACTTGAGCCCAGGAGGTCAAGGCTGCAATGAGCTATGATCATGTCACTGCACTTCAGCCTGGGTGACAGGATGCCTCTTAAAAATTTTTTTTTAATCTGTTTGAGCTGCTATTCATTGGGTGTTCCATTTGCTGAACCATCTGGCAGTTTCTAAACTACCATAATGACCTTTGCAATTTATTTGATAAATCTGTGCATCCATCCACCCACTTAGATGTTCACCCACTTAGAAGTTTTCTAGATTCAGCTGGGTGCAAGGGCTCACACCTGTAATCCCAGCACTTTGGGAGGCCAAGGAGGGCAGATCACTTGAGCCCAGGAGTTCAAGACCAGCCCGGGTAACATAGTGAGACCCTATCTCTATTTAAAAAGATAAAATTTGGCAAGGCATGATGGCTCATGCCTGTAATTCCAGCACTTTGGGAGGCCAAGGAGGGCAGATCACTTGAGCCCAGGAGTTCAAGACCAGCCCGGGCAACATAGTGAGACCCTATCTCTATTTAAAAAGATAAAATTTGGCAAGGCATGATGGCTCATGCCTGTAATCCCAGCACTTTGGGAGGTCAAGGTGGGCAGATCACTTGAGGTCAGGAGTTCGAGACCAGTCTGGCCAACATGAAACTCCATCTCTACTAAAAATACAAAAATTAGCCAGGCGTGGTGGCAGATGCCTGTAATCCCAGTTACTTGGGAAGCTGAGGCAGGAGAATCGCTTGAACCTGGGAGGCAGAGGATGCAGTGAGCCAGGATCACGCCATTGCACTCCAGTCTGGGCGACAAGAGTGAAACACAATCTCAAAAAATAAATAAAAATGTATAAATTAAAACAGAGGAAGTTTTCCAGATTCACCAATCATGTGGTATTGACAGGCACCCAGTTTAGGGAAGACGAGACAAAGCCTCCTAGTATCTGGCACAGAGCAAGGGGCTTAATATTTATGAATCTTTTCTTTATTTTTTTCTTTTTGAAACAGAGTCTCACTCTGTCACGAGTGCAGTGGCGGAATCTCAGCTCACTGCCACCTTCACCTCCTAGGCTCAAATGGTTTTCCTGCCTCAGCCTCCCGAGTAGCTGGGATTACAGGTGTGCGCCACCATGCCCGGCTAATTTTTTGTATTTTTGGTAGAGATGGGGTTTCACCACGTTGCCCAGGCTGATCTGGAACTCCTGGCCTCAAGTGATCCTCCCACCTCGACCTCCCAAAGTGCTAGGATTAAAGGCGTGAACCACCACGCCTGGCATTTTCTTTATTTTATGCTAGATCAGAGCTTCCACAAGGGGCTTGCTCTTGGTGATGGGAACCCTGACTCCCTCTGCAGACTTAGGTCCATGGGCACCCCAGGCTACCCTATGTGACCCTCACTCACGCCTCCTGTGGGTTGTTGGGGTCAGAAAGGTAGGGCTGCCAGAGGCCGGCAGCCACGTCGGTGGTGGTGAGTGGGGTGAAGCGGTCCGCGTAGACCTTTATGTCCAGTGGCTGCAGGACTGAGTGGTAGCGCTCATGGATGCAGAGGGCGGTGGACAGCCCGATGACTCCTGCTCCAATCACCACCACACGCATTGCAGCAGCCTGTGGGAAGGAAGGGTTGAGGCACAACATCATCACCATCATCTCCATCATCCTTAGCGCCATTGCCACCATCCACTGAAGGCTTAGAAGGTGCCAGACACCACCAAGCCCTTTTTATATTTGACCTTCCCGATGACCCCTAGGAGGAAGGAATATCATTGTTCCCGTTTTGCAAATGGAAACACTGAGGTATGGAGAAGTGACCGAGACTTGGCCACAGTCACACGGCTGGTGAATGATGCAACTTTCTCTGGGGAGCGTCCCCAGACACCCAGTTTCTGGGCTGGGAATAGAAAAGACCCAGCAGAGGGCACGACCAACTGTAGGCTGGGTAGGCCGGTGGTTAGTGCGATGGGCTCTGGCTTCAGGACTCAGCTCTGCCACCTACTGGCCGTTAACTTTGGGCAAGATGCTTCAACCTCTAATAACCTATGCTTGAGGGGATGGATGGGAAATTGAACAAGATGCCAAACGTAACAAATTTAACAAGCTGCCTGATGCAAAAGAAGTAATATACTGACATTTGTGGAGCACCTACTGTGAGCCAGCTGGCCCCGGCACTAAGTGCTTCACAAGCATCCATTCATCCAAGTCTCCCAACACTGTCATGAGGTAGGGGCTGCTGTTATCAGTCCCGTCTTACAGAGGAGGAAACTGTGGTTCAGAGAGGTGATGTGACTTACCTGAAGTCACACAGCCAGTTAAATGGTACAGCTGTGACTTAATTTCAATTTGAGTAAACTCAACACACGCTTAATGCACACCTACCATGTGCCAGGCTGGCAGCTAGCAAATGCAGCTATGAGCATGACAGACGCAGTGTCTGGCCTCAGAACTTGGTCTTCCAGCACAGAACTCCACCTGCCTTGGGGCACAGGGCTGATTGGGCCCTGAGAAGTTTAGAAGGCCTACCAGCTTTTAACCTTGAAGCTACTTAAGCCCGCACAGCAGGGAAATATTCTGCAGGCTCCTGCTGAGGCAGAACAAGAGAATTATTTGTGCCCAGAAGAGCCAAATTCAACTTTCCCTCATCTTCACTCACAACTCTCCTCCCGCAGACCTCAGCTCCTGGCAACTCGGGCCTGTGGCCCTGGACAGCGGGACATTCTTAATATGGCCTAGTTTTATAAAGGAGGGAAAACGGCTCCAGCCCACAAGAACTGGACTCTGTTGGGGTTTCAGAAGCCAAGTTGGAGATAGAACCAACAAACAGAAAGGTATCGTTCCTCTAGGCAATTCTCCTTCCAGCTTCGAGCCCGAGCTTGGATACTGGGGCTTAGGGGACAGCCCCTCTCAGGGACCCTTGGTCTTCTCTCTTCCCTCTTCCCCCATACTTTGCCTCTGGAGACACAAGCTCTTCATCTGCAAAACAGGGTTAATCCCAATCTCACAGGGTCATTTTAAGGATTAAATAAGAAGTTTAGCAAAAGTTCTTGGTACCACGCCTGGCACAGAGTAGGCCCTCAACACACAGCAGCCTCCTTCCTGTCTCCTAGCATTTTGAAAAATCACATAGAACAAAGACATTGCAGGAACAAAAGGAGAGAGGGAGGACCAGCTGCAGTGGCTTACGCCTGTAATCCCAATACCTCGGGAGGCCGAGGCGGGTGGATCACGAGGTCAGGACTTCAAGACCAGTCTGGCCAAGATGGTGAAACCCCATCTCTACTGAAAACTACAAAAATTAGCCAGGCGCGGTGGCAGGCGCCTGTAATCCCAGCTACTCGGGAGGCTGAGGCAGGAGAATCGCTTGAACCTGGGCAGCAGAGGTTGCAGCGAGTCGAGTTCGCACCACTGCATTCCAGTCTGGGCAACAGAGCGAAATTCTGCCTCAAAAAAAAAAAGAGGAGAAGAGAAAGGCAGAGTCAGACCTGGCTTCACTTCTGCCTTGCTGTGCGACCTTGGCTAAGTTAATTCCCCTCTCTGGGCTTTTTGACTGTCTGCATAATTTCCGGAGAGCTGACCACTCTTTTTCTTTTTTTTAAGAGACAAGGTCTCACTCTGTCACCCAGGCTGGAGTGCAGTGGCACAATCATAGCTCACTGCCACCTCCAATTCCTAGGCTCAAGCAATCCTCCCCCCTCAGCCTCCCAAAGCGCTGGGCTTTCAGGTGTGTGCCACTGCACCCGCCCGCTTGACCATTTTTATATGTTAACAATGAGAAGGCAGAGGAATAAAGGGCTTTCTGTATTTTTCCTAATTCTCCATGAAGAATCTAAGAGACAGTATGGCCCAGGCTGAGAGTCAGACAGACCCAGGTTCGCAGCCTGACTTGGGCACACACCAGCCATGTAACCCTGGGCAAGTTGCTCAACTTGACTGAGTGAGGGTGACCAACCTCCCCAGCTTGCCCAGGGCTGAGGGTCCTCCCAGGATGCAGACTTTCAGACTAAAAGTCAGTGCATCAGAGTCCCAGGCAAACCAGGATGAGTTGGTTAATCCTAATCGAACCTCAGTTTCCTCATCTATAAACTTTATTTTTTCGAGACAGAGTTTCACTCTTGTCGCCCAGGCTGGAGTGCAATGGTACAATCTTGGCTCACTGCAGACTCTGCCTCCCGGGTTCAGGTGATTCTCCTGCCTCAGCCTCCTGAGTAGCTGGGATTACAGGCATGCACCAACATGCCTGGCTAATTTTTGTATTTTTAGTAGAGACAAGGTTTCACCATGTTGGCCAGGCTGGTCTCAAACTTCTGACCTCAGGTGATTTGCTGGCCTCAGACTCTCAAAGTGCTAGGATTACAGGCGTGAGCCACCATGCCCGACCTCATCTATAAACTTTTATGAGAGCTGACAAAGCTCCTTGCCTTATTGTCTCCTCACTGGAATATCAGCTCCTGGACACCCAGGTGGTGAGAGGCAGAGCCCAGGCCAGCCTGACTCATAAGCCTAGGTGCTTAAATGCCATGCTTGCCAGTAAATCACATGGTTTGAAAAATCTGAGAATCAAGCCGGTAAATAGGAACAGCTGAAGCTTCAGAGTCCTGCATTTCAAACATAAAATATAATATAAAATAAGATAAAATAAAATAAAATAAAATGCCTGTAGGAATTTTTAGAGTGTTGGTAGGAATAGAATGGAAAATCAAAAAGGCCGGGCACAGTGGCTCACGTCTTTAATTCCAGCACTTTGGGAGGTCGAGGCTGGCAGATCACTTGAGGTCGGGAGTTCAAGACCAGCCTGGCCAATATGGTGAAACCCTGTCTCTACAAAAATACAAAAAAATTAGCTTGGCATGGTGGTGCACGCCTGAAATTCCAGCTACTCGGGAGGCCGAGGCAGGAGAATCCCTTGAACCTGGGAGGTGGAGATTGCAGTGGGCAGAAATCATGCCATTGCACTCCAGCCCAGGTGACAAGAGTGAAACTCTGTCAAAAAAAAAAAAAAAAAAAAAATTTAAAAGGAAAAAAGTGTGAGTCCTAAGTCAATTATCTTTTTTTAAAAAAATTCAAGATATGAGTCAAAGTTGACACTGATTATAGCAACGTGTGTGTGTGTGTGTGTGTGTGTGTGTGTGTGTGTTTTAAAATACAAAATAAATGCATGAGGTCCTCATGACAAGCCAGAGACAGATTGTCAGATGTGGCAGATCCAGCCTTAGGTAAAATCATTCATGCGTGTAGGTAATGAGCTTTTGGACTTAAACGCACCCAGCTCAGTTATTCGGTTGGACATTTTCGTGTTGTTGCTGATGTTTTTATTAGTGTTGCCGTTCTCCTCTGTTTTACATCATTACTTCAACCCAGCAAGCTTGGAGTATGTATCCCAGAAGATGCAAACAGCTGGGATTATTATATTTGTGTGTGTGTGTGTGTGTGTGTGTGTGTGTGTGTGATTAGAATGTCTGTGTAAGTGTGGAGCAGGAAGGGAACCAATGTATTTTGGTCTCTGCCACTTGCCAGACACCTGTAGATGCAGTACCGACATAATCCTCTCAATCCTCTCAACTGCTCTAGGAAGTAGGGAAGGTTACCGCCCTCATTCTGGAGGCTGGGACTGAGGTTTAGGGAGGAGAAGTCACCCACCCAAGGTTACGCAGTCAGTATGGGACAGCATTCGGACCTAGACCCAGTTCTATCGGCGCTTTCTGCACTGCTCCAAAAAAATATTTAGGCAGTTGGCATGCAGTTGCCACTTGATGCTTTCTGCTTGTCTTTCAGTCTTGCATTTATCTGCCTAGGACCTCCCTTGTCCCCTAGAAGGCAATCTGAGACAGCTGATGCCTTTGATTGCTATGTGCCCATAGCAAAGAATATGAAAGACTTCTTTTTAAAAAAAAAAATCAGTAAGCCAGAGATGAGGCATTTGAATGAACATAATTAGTTCTCCCTGGTTGCACCACACGGCTACTTCTCATGAAGTTATTTGCAGAGTTTATCCTTGAAATGGAACAGAAGCTATAAAAGTTTGAGAACCAGCCTACCAACTCCCCCACCAAAAATAATAATAACTACCATTTGAGTACTTGCTATGTGCCTAGATCTGCTCTAAGCACTTTACATGCACCACCTCTTTTAACACTCAGACTCACGCTGTAAGAGGGGAGTTATGATCCCCATGTTCCAGGTGAAGAAACTGAGGCTTGGGGAGGGAAAAATCACTTACCTATGGTCTCTCTGCTGGATGTTTGAGAGGCTGGATCTCTCCTTTCCTGTCACCTGCCTTAGGCTGTAATGTTGAGCCCTGTCTTTGACATTGGGAGGACATGAAATCCTTTGCCTCTCCCCTCTCCCAACCCCTGTCCCCAGCTCAAAGGTGCATCTGCCACTCACCGGAAGTACCAAACTGCTGGAGAGACCAGACAACTGCAGTGCGGGGACACAGGATGCTATTTCCTGAGGGGAAGCTCCTGATTCTGGAGCGTCTTGTTTCCAGCCCTCTGTCCGCCAGCCCGGACTGGAGTGCAGGGTCAAAGTCTGGAGCTATGGACAGGGCACGGCTTGAGGGGTGGGGCTCGGCACTGCACTGCCCACAGAGACTGGACCCAGGCCCGGCCGGGAGACCTCGCTCCCAGTCCCTGAAAAGTTGCCTGACTTTTCTGGCTGATCTCAAGCCCCTGTGGACAGGCCTTGGGGGAAGGAGGGAGGGCAGGCATTCTTGGAGGGTTGATGAGCACAAGAAGGTCTGTCTCTCTGGCCAGCTGGAGAGGATCCCCTTTCTTCCTTCTTCCTGCTGCCACCCTGGGGGAGGGTCAGGACGTTCCATGGGGCACTGTAGGCCTGGCCTGCGGTGGGGGTGGTCAGCCTGGCAGCCCCTGAGGGGAAAGGAGAGGCACAGGACAGGGGCTCCCTGGGCCAGCCCGATGCCATTCCAGGACGCTGGGGAGATGAGGCCAAGGAGAGACTGGAGGTGACGCCTGTGTGGGCCATGAGGATGCGTGGCTCTTTGCTCCCGTATCCCAGAGACGCAAGCAGCAGGACTCCAGGCCCTTCCTCTGCCAGGGATAAACATGGAGCTGTGATTTTTAGAGCCCAGAGATCTGCAGGCACCTCACTGTACAGATGGGAAGACTGAGGCCTGAGAGAGAGGGACCAACCAGCCCTGAGGGAGGCATTCTTTGGGTCAGCTTTAGCAATCCAGCCTCTAACACCTGCCTTTAGTATCATCAAATAAAAAGACGAAGATGAAATAAGAAAATGCATGCAAAATACTCACTGCATAGTATTTTTTCCTTTTTTAAAAGAGGGTCGGCTGGGCACAGTGCCTCACACCTGTAATTCTGACACTTTGGGAGGCCATGGTGGGTGGATCACCTGAGGTCAGGAGTTCGAGACCAGCCTGGCCAACATGGCGAAACCCCGTCTCTACTAAAATTACAAAAAATCAGCCAGGAGTGGTGGGGTGTGCCTGTAATCCTGGCTACACAGGAGGCTGAGGCAGGAGAATTGCTTGAACCTGGTGGGTGGAGGTAGCAGTGAGCCAAGATGGCACCACTGCACACTCCAGCCTGGGCTACAGAGCGATACTCTGTCTAAAAAAAAAAAAGAAAACAAAAAAAAAGAAAAAGAAAAGATAACAGACAGGGTCAGGCCAGGCGCAGTGGCTCTTGCCTGTAATCGCAGCACTTTGGGAGGCCGAGGTGGATGGATCACTTGAGGTTAGGCGTTTGAGACCAGCCTGGCTAACATGTTGGTGAAACCCTATCTCTACTAAAAATACAAAAATTAGCCGGCCGTGGTGGCACATGTCCGTAATCTCAGCTACTCGGGAGGCTGAGGCAAGAGAATCACTTGAACTGGGAGGCGGAGCTTGCAGTGAACCAAGATCAAGCCACTGCACTCTAGCCTGGGTGACAGAGTGAGACCCAGTCTCAAAAAACAAAAAAAAAAAAAAAAAAAAGAGAGAGAGAGAGAGAGAGGATCTCACTCTGTCACCCAGGCCAGAGTGCAGTGGCGCCTTGAACTCCTGCGCTCAAGCAATCCTTCTGCTTCAGCCTAGCCAGGACTACAGATGCATGCCATAACACCCAGCCAAATTACTTACTTTTTGTAAAGACAGGGTCTTGCTATTTTGCCCAAGCTGGTCTCAAACTCCTGGCCTCAAGCAATCATCCCACCCCGACCTCCCAAAGGGTTGGGATTACAGGCATAAGCCACCACGCTATGACATATTTTTTTTTCTTCAATAATAAAAAATGGATAGGGTGAAACCCACTTTTTACTTTATATCTAACTAGTTTGAATTTTAATACAATAGTCATGTATCACTTATATAACATATGGCCCTTATAAAGTTCCCTGTGTGTTTAATTCATCATGGGAGCACTTGAACATTCATAAAAGTTAGTCCAATATCTTCATGCTCCCCACTGCCATCACAGCAATAATTTACGTTTTGTAAATTGCGGTGTACCAATTCTAAATACCTGGATTTTCTTTTTTTCTTTTTTATTTTTTTCTGAGACAGAGTCTCACTCTGTCGCCCAGGCTGGAGTGCAGTGGTGCCATCTCAACTCACTGCAACATCTGCCTCCCAGATTCAAGCAATTCTCCTGCCTCAGACTCCCGAGTGGCTGGGTTTACAGGCACATACCACCTCACCTGGCTCATTGTTTTTCTATTTTTAGTAGAGACAGGGTTTCACCATGTTGGCCAGGCTGGTCTTGAACTCCTGACCTCAGGTGATCTGCCCACCTTGGCCTCCCAAAGTGGTGGGATTATAGGCGTGAGCCACCGCACCCTGCCTTACCCAGATTTTCTCTTTGAATCTCGAAACAGCCCTGTAAGGCAGGTGCTGTTATTATCATCCCCACTTCAGAGTTGAAATTCAGAAACTTGCTCCAGCATCCACTGAAGTTAAAGATGGCTATCCTAATATCTATCATGCCCACGCCTATATATATACCCAAGATAAATGAAAACACACATCAATCAAAAGGCTTCTGTAAGAATGTTCATAGCCCCTGTTAACTAAAAAAAAAAAAAAAAAAAAAATCACAAATGTGTAAATTCAGAGAGGAGAAGAAATCTTATTTCTTATAAGGGGTTATAGCCCACAAGGTGACCAGTCCATGGCCTGGGAAGTATGCCTCCTACCAAGAACAGAGACGGGCACTTTGAAGGAGGAGGGGTTGGGTTAGGAGCTTTGTGCTGAAGGGGTTGGCTGAATGATATATCCAGCAGGTTACAGGAGAAGCTATGAATATTTATGAAGGTGGCCCCAACACATGTGTATGAACAAATGTGCATGTAACATACAACCCATGTTCACTTTGGGGTGGAGACTTAACATTTAAATGTATTACAATTAGGCCAGCCATGGTGGCTCATGCCTATAATACTAGCACTTTTGGAGTCCAAGGTGGGTGGATCGCTTGAGCCCAGGAGTTTGAGACCAGCTTGGGCAACATGGCGAAACCCCTGTCTCTACAAAAAATACAAAAAGTAGCCGGGCGCAGTTGCGTGCACCTGTAGTCCCAGCTACTTGGGAGGCTGAGGTGGGAGGATTGCTTGAGCCCAGGAGGCAGAGGTTGCAGTGAGTTGTGATCGTGCCACTGCACTCCAGCCTGGGCAACAGAGTAAGACCCTATCTCAATCAATCAATTGATCAATCAATCAATCAATGTATTACAATTAGAACCTACACATCAAAATGTCTTTTCAGGAAATGCAGGCACATGAGGTTGCGGTTTCGTAACCCCACCAGAAGCAGTCCATAGTCAGTGATCTTTTTATTAGGAGAAAGTTACCAAACTCAGTCTCTTGTTCAATCAAAGCTGTAGTTGTTGTTATGACTGGAGGAACAGGGTGTCAGTTGGGTGTCTGTGTGCTAGATGAGTTGTAACTGTTTTAATATTGCTTCTTCTGAGGCCAGTGCTTGTTTCGCTGCTAGAGAAAAAGAAAAATCTTGTAACATAATTAGAACATAGTTTATTCCTTAAGAGTAGGGGCACCTGACTTAACCCTTGCCTGACATGGCCTTAGGCTGTGTTTATAATTTGGTATCTTATTGCCACAAAAAGTCTGTTCTGTCAGTCTTATAATCTCTCTCTCTTTTTTTTTTTTTTTTGAGACAGAGTCTCACTCTATTACCCATGCTGGAGTGCAGTGGAAAGATCATGACTCACTGCAGCCTCTGCTTCCTGGGCTCAAGCGATCCTCTCACCTCAGCCTCCCCAGTAGCTGGGACCACAGACACGCACCACCGTGCCTGGCTAATTATTTTATTTTATTTTATTTTATTTTGTAGAGACAGAGTTTCACCATGTTGCCCAGGCTGGTCTCGAACTTCTGGCCTCAAGTGATCTGCCTTCCTCAGTCTCCCAGGGGACTGGGATTACAGGTGTGAGTCACCATACTCAGCCCTCTATTTTAGCATTGATGCTGATCTTTTCTTGTATCTAAACCACAAAAGGAAGGAAGGGAGTGTAATGTGGTGTGCCTGACCTCCTGTCTCATCATGGCTGGAAACAAAGTTTTTAAAGTTTTTCTGGGGTTCCCTTTGCCAAGAAGGGTGTTCATTTAGTGGACCCTTAGGATTTTATTTTGAATTTACACCCCAAACTGGAAACAACCAAATATCTATGAGACAGAGGATGGATAAACAAATTGTGGTGTTTTCAGGAAACAAAACTCCCCCCTCCAAAAAAAAATTCACACAATGGAATATTATACAGCAATGAAAAGGGAAAATACTGTTATATATAGCAACCTGAATGAATCTCAGTCATTAGGTTAAGAAGAAGCAGCCAGACACTTAAGAGCTCATATTGCATACTTCCACTTTTATGAAATTCAAGAACATACAAAATTAATTGACAATAACAGGCTGTGAGAAGAGTGGTTACCTCTGGGGGAGATACTGACCAGCAAGAGGCATGAGAAAATTTCCTGGGATGCTGGAAACGTGCTCCTTAATCTGGGTAGTGGTTGCAGGAGTTTATGCATATGTAAAAATTCATCAAGCTGCATATTTAAAATTAAGATTGATGCACTTGACACAATTAGGGAAGAAAGAGAGAGAGAAAAGGAGAGAGGAAGTAAGGAATAAAGGAAGGAAGGAGGAGGGAGTGGAGGGGAGGAAAGGGAGGAAGAAAAATGAAAGAAGGAGAAAGCAGGCAGGCAAGGAGGGAAGAAGGAAAGAAGAAGAAAGAGGGTGAGACAAAGAAAAAAGGAAAGACAGACTGTGCTTATAGTCACACTGCCTGGAAGCAGAGGCCCAAATGTGAACTAGGTTAGGGTTGCCAGATCTAGGAAATAGATTCCAGGACACCATATGTGTGTGTGTGTGTGTGTGTGTGTGTGTGTGTGTGTGTGTGTGTGTGTATCTATATTTTTTTTTTTTTTGAGATAGGGTCTCGCTCTGTTGCCCAGGCTGGAGTGCAGTGGCGTGGTCTTGGCTCACTGCAAACTCCGCCTCCCTGGTTCAAGTGATTCTTGTGCCTCAGCCTCCCAAGTAGCTGGCATTATAGGCATGTGCCACTGCACCAGGCTAATTTTTTTATTTTTAGTATAGACATTGTTTGCCATGTTGGCCAGGCTGGTCTTGAACTCCTGATCCTCCCACTTTGGCCTCCCAAAGTGCTAGGATTACAGGCGTGGGCCACCTCCCCAGAACGCCCTGTATTTTACCTGGCGACCCTCACCCAGGTTGTGTCCAGAACTGGGGTACTCAGTCACTACACTATAGCTTTTAATTGAGAGCCAGAGAAGGACCCCAGGCATCAGTGACCAGGACTGGAGGTGGCCTGTGGCTTCAGAAAGTCCTGTACTGTGTACAAACAAGCATACTTAGAATTATTATTTAATTTTGGAAAATGAGCTTGGGGGACAACTATTGTTTTCGTGATATAATCTACAGAAAGTAAAGTTCCACAGTATCTTCTCGGCTATTGGAATAAGGAGAAAGGTACCCACTAGGAAGGGTGTAAGAATTTTATCTTTATTAAAAAGGAGAGTGAGTTTAAGAAAAAGCCAGGCACAGTGGCTCACGCCTGTAATCGCAGCACTTTGAGAGGCTGGGGCAGGAGGATCTCTTGAGCCCAGGCGTTTGATACCAGCCTGGGCAACATGATGAAACCCCATCTCTACAAAAAATTAGCCAAGCATGGTGGCACAGGCCTGTAGTCCCAGTTACTTGGGAGGCTGAGGTAGAAGGATTGATTAGCCTGGGTGGTTGAGGCGGCACTGAGCTGAGATCTTGCCATTGCACTCCAGCCTGGGTAACAGAGCAAGACCCTGTCTCAAAAGAAAAGAAAAGAGAAAGGTGAGAAACACTGATACGGTTGAAGCTGTCCATTTTACACTTAGGGAAATTTAAGTGCCCTGAGACAGCTCTGTGGGACCAAGGCCCTTTCCACTACCCTGAAGTCCTAAACTCACTGATCCTAGTAATGGGAGGCCCTAGACTTTCGAAAGCAACTTCTGTTTATTTGGCTGGAATTGTAGAAGTTAAGGGTCTTTTTGACCCCACTGGGTGGTTGATAAACAAAACGACCTCCTGGTAGTTCTGAAATACAGTCAGGCCAGGGCAAAAACATTTACCTGGAGAATGCTCTGCAGGAGTCAACCCTGGTGGGGCCAGGAAGTTACAGAATAACAGGTTAACTCCCACTCTCTTTCTCAGACAAAATTAGCTTTAATCACTTTTTCAAGTATTAAGCAGTATTTAAGGATTTCAAGTATTTATGCAGCAGGCATAAAGAAGAAAGTAAGAATCCCCTGCAATTAATCCCACCACCAGGAAATAGGGACCATTACTTTGGGCAAATATTTCCAAATGTGAACATAAACACGGGCAGGTGGCAAAAATAGTATCATGTGACATATGTTGGTTCCTCTGTTCACTTGTACCAATATGGCATACCCTGAGCCTCTTTCCACGACCACTATAGAACAGTGACGTACTTTTTATTTTTCTTTTAATTTATTGACAAAGTCTTGCTCTGTTGCCTAGGCTGAAGTGCAGTGGTGTGAACATAGCTCACTGAAGCCTCGAATTCCTGGGCTCAAACGATTCTCCTGCCTCAGCCTCCCAAGCAGCTGGGACTACAGGATGGCATCCTTTTTACACAGGATGCCAATGTACCTGGATGTAACATTTTTTTTTCTTTTTTGAGACAGGGCCTCACTCTATTGCCCAGGCTGGAGTACAGTGGCGCAATCACAGTTCACTGTAGTCTTGACCTCTAGGGCTCAAGTGATCCTCCCTCCTCAGCCTCCTGAGTAGTTAGAACTACAGGCATGCACCACCAACCTGGCTAATTTTTACTTTTTTTTTTTTTTGTAGCGACGGGGTCTCCCTATGTTGCCCAGACTGGTCTTGAACTCCTGGGCTCAAGCGATCCTCCCATGTTGGTCTCCCAAAATGCTGGGATTACAGGCGTGAGCCACCATGCCCAGCCAGATGTAACAATTTTTAAAGTCAGTCCGTAGGGTTGAATTTACCTGTCATTTCTAATTTGTCGACATTAAAAACATCCTAGATGTGTTTCTTGGCACACTTGCCTGATCGTTTCCATAAGGTCAGTTCCTAAAAATGGAATCATTGTGCCAGGGTTTGTACATTTAAAATATTGATCCATTTTGCCAGACTGCCATCCAGCAGGGCTCTAGCAATTTACACATTTAAGGAGGCACTTACCCTCATATGCCCACTTTGTACTTACATGGCCCTGAGAGTGACAGCCTCCTTAAATTTTGCATCCTTCCTTCTCCCCATCTTACTCCAAGCCCTGCTAAGGAGATGGCAAAGTTTCATGTCCACTGGGCTTTGTATTTATTTCTTTGTAAAGTGCCTATTCTTTTTTCCCCATTTTTCTATTGAATTGTGTTGGTTATTTTTCTTATTAATTTGAAATAACTCTTTTTTTTTTTTTTTTTTTTTGAGATGGAGTCTCACTCTGTCACCCAGGCTGGAGTGCAGTGGTGCGATCTCGGCTCACTGCAATCTCTGCTTCCCGGGTTCAAGCAATTCTCCTGCCTCAGCCTCCTGAGTAACTGGGATTACAGGCGCATGCCACCACACCCGGCTAATTTTTGTATTTTTAGTACAGATGGGGTTTCACCATATTGGCCAGGCTGGTCTTGAACTCCTGACCTCGTGATCTGCCTGCCTCGGCCTCCCAAAGTGCTGGGATTACAGGCGTGAGCCACTGTGCCCAGCCTTGAAAGAACTCTTTATATGTATGTGTATCATCCCTTTGTTGCAAATGTTTTCCCCAATTTGTCTGTCCTACAAAGGTTTGAAAATTTTTTTAGCTGTGGCTTGCATTTGTAATCCCAGCTACTCAGGAGGCTGAGGTGCAACTGCCCAATGGGTTATCCTTGCCCGCTGCCTAGACAGAGCCAATGTATCAAGTCAGGGGAACTGCAATAGTGAAAGAGTTTAGGATCATGGTTCAGGGTTTTTTTCTGTGGGTTTTTTGTTTTGTTTTGTTTTTGAGACCGAGTTTTGCTCTTGTCATACAGGCTGGAGTGCAGTGGAGTGATCTTGGCTCACTGCCACCTCTGTGTCCCGGGTTCAGGCGATTCTCCTGCCTCAGCCTCCTGAGTAGCTGGGATTACAGGCGCACACTACCACACCTGGCTAATTTTGTATTTTTAGTAGAGATGGGGTTTCACTATGTTGGCCATGGTTGGTCTCGAACCCTGACCTCAGGTGATCCGCCTGCCTTAGCCTCCCAAAGTGCTGGGATTACAGGCATGAGCCACTGCGCCTGGCTAAGGTTTTTAAGGGTAATTTGGTGGGTAGGGGGTCAGAAAGTAGGGGAGTGTTGATTGTTCAGGTTGGAGACAAAGTTATAGGAGTTGAAGCGGTCCTCTTATGCTGGGTCAGTTTCTGGGTGGGGACCACAGATCAGATGAGCCTGTTTATCCATTTGGGTAGTGCCAGCTGATCCATCGAGTGCGAGGTCTGCAAAATATGTCAAGCACTGATCTTAGGTTTTACAATGGTGATGTTATCTCCAGGAGCAATTTGGGAGATTCAGAATCTTGTAGGCTTCAGCTGCATGACTCCTAAACCATAATTTCTAATCTGGTAGCTATAATAATTTGTTAGTCCTGCAAAGGCAGTCTAGTCCCCAGGCAGGAAAGGGGTTTGTTTTGGAAAATGGGCTATTAACATCTTAGTTAAACTTTGACAAAGTTAAACTATAAACTAAATTCCTCCCAAAGTTAGTTTGGCCTACACCCAGGAATGAACACGGACAGCTTGGAGGTTAGAAGCAAGATGGAGTCAGTTAGGTCAGATCTCTTTCACTGTCATCGTTTTCTCAGTTATAATTTTTGCAAACGCAGTTTCAGAGGCAGGAGGATTGCTTGAGCCCAAGAGTTCAAGGTGGCAGTGAGCTATGATTGTACCAGCCTGGGAAAAAGAACAAGACTCTAACTCTAAAAAAACAAAAGCAAAACAAAAACTTTTTTGTAGTTAAATCTATTTCCTTTTTTTTTTCGTCCTTTATGATTTTTGCATTATCATTTCTTTATAGTGGTGTGTGGTTTTATAACATTTTTTTTTTTTGAGTCGGAGTTTCGCTCTTGTTGCCCAGGCTGGAGTGCAATGGTGCGATCTCGGCTCACTGCAACCTCCACCTCCCGACTTCAAGCAATTCTCCTGCCTCAGCCTCCTGAGGAGCTGGGATTACAGACATGCGCCACCATACCCAGCTAGTTTTTGTATTTTTAGTAGAGACGGGGTTTCTCCATGTTGGTCAGGCTGGTCTCAAACTCCTGACCTCAGGTGATCCACCCGCCTCAGCCTCCCAAAGTGCTGGGATTACAGGCGTGAGCCACCACGCCCAGCTTTATAACATACTTTTATATGGCTATAGTCATGTTTAGAAACCCTGCTTCATCTCTCTCCCTTGCTTCATATTAAAAATTACTCACACAGACTTTCTATAACTTTTGAAGGTTTTTTTTTTTTTTTTTTCTGAGAACGAGTCTCACTCTGTTGCCCAGGCTGGAGTGTGGGTGGTGTGATCTTGGCCCACTGCAACCTCTGCCTCCTGGGTTCTAGTAAATCTCCTGGCTCAGCCTCCTGAGTAGCTGGGACGATAGGCGCCCTCGACCATGCCCAGCTAATTTTTGTGTTTTTAGTAGAGGTGGGGTTTTGCTATATTGGTCACACTGATCTAGAACTCCTGACCTCAGGTGATCCACCCGCCTCGGCCTCCCAAAGTGCTGGGATTACAGGCGTGAGCCACCATGCCTGGCAACTTTTGAAGGTTTTTTAAACATTTAACTGACTCATTTGGAATTAATTTTGGAGACTAGCAGTGGGGTAGGGATCCGCATTTACTTGCTAGCCAGTGGCAGCAGAACTGTTGGTTGAGTAACTCACTCTTACTCCACGCTTCACAGATACCTACCTCCTATTATCGTTCACCAGACTTTCCTGTGTGTTTGAGTTTATTCCTGGACTTAATGTTGTGCTCCATTCATCTGTTTGTGGCTTTCTAGGCCAGCACCCATTCTATGTTTGTTTTTGTTTTTGTTTTTGTTTTGTTTTGTTTTTGAGATGGAATTTTGCTCTTGTTGCCCAGGCTGGAGTGCAGTGGCGCAGTCTTGGTTCACTGCAACCTCTGCCTTCCAGGTTCAAGGGATTCTCTTGCCTCAGTCTCCCAAGTAGCTGGGATTATACGCATGCAGCACCACACCCTGCTGATTTTGTGTTTTTAGTAGAGACAGGGTTTCACCATGTTGGCCAGGCTGGTCTTGAATTCCTGACCTCAGGTGATCCACCCACCTCGGCCTCCCAAAGTGCTGGGATTACAGGCATGAGCCACTGCGCCCGGTTTTTTTTTTTCTTCTTCTTTTTTTTTCTTTCTTTTTTTTTTTTTTTGAACTGGAGTCTCGCTCTGTAGCCCAGGCTGGAGTGTAGTAGTGTGAGCTTGGCTCACTGCAACCTCTGCCTCCCAGGTTCAAGTAATTCTCCTGGCTCAGCCTGCAGAGTAGCTGGGACTACAGGTGCACACCACTATGCCCAGCTAATTTTTATACTTTTAGTAGAGACAGGGTTTTACCATATTGGTCACACTGATCTAGAACTCCTGACCTCAGGTGATCCACTCACCTTGGCCTCCCAAAGTGCTGGGATTACAGGCATAAGCTGCTGCACCCGGCCCCATTCTGTTTTAATTTCTACAGCTTTGTCATATGTTTTAATATCTAGCAGAACAGATTCCTTCCCTTTAATCTTCTTTTTCCTAGTTTGCAGGTCTCTTCTCCCACGGTTACTTTTCTGGGGTGGTTTAGTGATTAAGACCAGGGACTCTGGAGTCAGGCAGACTGGGCTGGTGCCCCAGCTCCACCTTTCCTATCCATGTGTCCTTGGGCTGGTACTTAGGGAAACCAGGGCACAGTGGGGAGGCCATGTGGCAGGAGGCCCAAGGGCACACATGTAAATATCAAACATGCTTGATGTCATCTCACCTCCACGGTTTCCAGGATCTCAGACAAGTCCCCTCTTGAAACCTCCTAAGTAAAATGGGAAGGGGAACAGGTAATAGCAGTACTTTACTCTCAGAAAAATTAAATAAAGAGGGACTTTCTCCTATGGTGGAATTAAGATGAAACAGTGACTGTCACGTGATGCAACGCACATATATACCCAATAAATGTTAGCTTGTCCAGTTATCTGTTGTAAAGATCCCTACACTCAAAAGAATCAAGTTGGGATTTCAATAGCATTTCCATTTAATTTAATTTCGAGAGGTTGTTAACTCTACCATACTGAGTCTTCCCATCCAAAAACAAAGCTTCTCCATCTCTCCATTGATGCCCTCTTTTTTTTCCCCTTTTGGTAGAGTTTTTTAACTCTTCACATTTTTCTTTCAAAAATGGGGTCTACTGTCCTACGCTGTTTGGTGGCCTGCTTTTCTTTTCTTCCACTTAATATTTTATAAAAATCTTTCTGTACTAGTGCATGGTTTTATAATATTTTTATGGCAGCATATAAAAGTTATCTATTGCTGCATAACAAGTTACCTTAAAATTTAGCAGCTTAAAACAATAAACATTTATTATCTCATACATTTTCTTTGGGCCTGGAATCTGGAAGCAGCTCAGCTGGGCAGCTCTGGCTCAGAGTGTCTCATGAGGTTGCACTCCAGATGTTGGCCATGGCTGTGATCTCATCTGAAGGCTTGAATGGGGGGCCTGGCACAATGGCTCTTGCCTGTAATCTCAGCACTTTGGGGGTCCGAGATAGGCAGATCACTGGAGGCCAGGAGTTTGAGACCAGCCTGGGCAACATGGCGAAACCCTGTCTCTACTAAAAATACAAAAAAACTAGCTGGGCATGGTAGCGCACGCCTGTAATCCCAGCTACTCGGGAGGCTGAAGAATGAGAATCGCTTGAACCCAGGAGGCAGAGGTTACAGCGAGCCAAGATGGTGCCACTGTACTCCAGCCTGGGAGACAGAATGAGACCCGGTCTCAATTAATAAGTAAATAAATAAATAAAGGCCTGACTGGGGCTGGAGGATCCATTTTCAAGGTGGTGCATTCACATGACAATAGGTTAGTGCTGGTCATTGGCAGGAGACCTCAGTTTCTTGCCATGCGGCCCTCTCTCTTTGGCTGCTTAAATGTCCTAAATGTCCCCATGACATGGTAGCTGGATTCCCCCAGAATGAGAAATCCAAGAGACAGCAAGACAGCAGCTTCAGTGTCTTTTATGACCCCTAGCCTCAGAAGCCACATGCTGTAGTATCTGTGATATCCTAGTGGTTACACAGGTCAGTTCTATGTATTGTGTGAAGAGACTCCACAGGGCATGAATATCAGGAGATGAGGACCACTGAGAGCTATCTAGGAGGGATATCACATGCATATACCCAATTGATCTAACCAATGCTTTCTTATAGGACATTAATCATTCCATATTAAGAGTTGAGATTCTTTTGTTTGTTTTTTGAGACAGAGTCTCACTCCGTCACCCAGGCTGGAGTGCAGTGGTGTGATCTTGGCTCATTGCAACCTCCATCTCCTGGATTCAAGTGATTCTTGTGCATCAGCCTCCTGAGTAGCTGGGACTACAGGTGCATGCCACCATGCCTGGCTAATTTTTGTATTTTTAGTAGAGACAGGTTTTTGCCATGTTGGCCAGGCTGGTCTCTAACTCGTGGCCTCAAGTGATTCACCCACCTTGGCCTCCCAGTGCTGGGATTACCAGCATGGGCCACCGCACCCCACCAAGAGTTGAGATTCTGAGGCCCAGCAAGGGTCAGTGTGTTGCTTGTGATCATAGTGAATAAAAGGCAAATTCAGGTGAATACACCCCTGGCAGAGGCCAGGGAACACCTTGATCTGGCAAGCAGGTTAAATGAAGGGATGGGTAGAGGAAGGGAGGCTTCAGCCAACTCCGCACAGGGGCAGAGATCCCTCAACTGCCTGGCTGCTGGTGCCTATTGACCCACCCAGAGAGATGCTTTGTCAGAAGCCCCAGATACCTGACTTCCATATCTAACACTGGACACCCTGGCCCAGGTGGCAGAAGCTTTGAGTCCTCTGAACACCGTTCCCTGCAAATAGTGGAACATCCAAACTGTCACCTCCCAGGCTAGAAAGGCCAACAACCCATGTATGTGGTCTGGGGTCTAGTTGGCCTGGGTTCAAACCCTAGCCTTGCTCTGAGCCTCATTTTCTGCAGCTGATGAAATGATCATGTTAGATGCGTTCCTTTCCTGTGGCTGCTGTAACAAAGTGCCACAAACTGGGAGGCTTAAACCACAGGCATTTACTCTCACAGTTCTGGAGCCTGGAACTCTGAAATCGAGTTGCTGGTTTCTTCAGAAGGCCACGCAAATCTGCTCCTCACTTCTCACTCCTAGCTCTGGTGGTTTGCTGACCATCTCGGGTGCTCTTTGGCTTGTGGCAGCACAACTACAACCTTCAGGAAGCATTTTCCCCTTGGCTCTGGGTCCAAATTTCCCCTTTTATTATTTATTTATTTATTTGTTTGTTTGTTTATTTTTTGAGATGCAGTTTCGCTCTTGTTGCCCAGGCTGGAGTGCAATGGCGCAATCTCAGTTCACTGCAACCTCCACCCCCCGGGTTCAAGTGATTCTCCTGCCTCAGCCTCCGAAGTAGCTGGGATTACAGACATGCACCACCACGCCTGGCTAATTTTGTATTTGTAATAGAGACAGGGTTTCTCCATGTTTGTCAGGCTGGTCTCGAACTCCTGACCTCAGGTGATCCACCCGCCTTGGTCTCCCAAAGTGCTGGGATTATAGGCATGAGCTACCGCGCCCAGCAAATTTCCCCCTTTTCATACGGACACAGTCATATGCGAATAGGGCCCCGCCCTAATGACCTCATCTTAACTTGATCAGCTGCAAAGACCTCATTTCCAAATAAGGTCCCATTCACAGGGACTAGTGAATTTTGTGGGGACACAATTCAACCCAATACCTTAGGTACTATTAGTAAATAGGACAGCACGCTCTGCCTTTCCTGCATAGTATGCTGTTCAATTGACACAACCAAGCTCTGAGGTCAGCACTACCACTTTCTTTTCTTTTCTTTTCTTTTTTTTTTTTTTTTTGAGATGGAGTCTTGCTTTGTTGTCCAGGCTGGAGTGAAGTGGCGGGACCTCGACTCACTGTAACCTCTGCTTCCTGGGTTCAAGCGATTCTCCTGCCTCAGCCTCCTGAGTAGCTGAGATTATAGGCACCCACCACCACACCTGGCTAATTTTTGTATTTTCAGTAGAGACAGGGTTTCACCGTCTTGGACAGGCTGGTCTTGAACTCCTGACCTCAGGTTATCTGCCCACCTTGGCCTCCCAAAGTGCTGGGATTACAGGCGTGAGCCACTATGCCCGGCCGAGCACTATCACTTTCATATCAATTTTACAGAGAAAGACAGTGGGTCTCGGCTGGGTCTGAAGGCTCACACCTGTAATCCCAGCACTGTAGGAAGCCAAGGTGGCAGCCTGGCCTGGCCAACATGGTGAAACGCCGACTCTACTAAAAATACAAAAATTAGCTGGGTATGGTGGCACACACCTGTAATCCTAGCTACTCAGGAGGCTGAGGTGGGAGGATCACTTGAGCCTGGGGGGAGGAGGTTGCAGTGAGCCGAGATCGCGCCACTGCGCTCCAGCCTGGGTGACACAGACAGAAAGAAAATGGGTCTCAGAAAAAGTACCTCACAGTTCCTTAGTGGGGAGGCCAGTTTGAATGAACCAGGCAGATCCCAGGGTTTCTACACCTCCCTGGTGGTGCTGTCATGGTGATTCCTCTGCTCAAATATCACCTCACCCAGAAGCTTCCCTGACCATTTGTCTAAGTGGCCTCCTCCATTACTCTGCCCTTAGCCTGCTTTGTTTTTCTCCCAAGCTTTTTCATGATTGGACATCATATTTCATTTATTTGACACATATCAGTGCCTATCTTGTTCTAAGACCCTTACCAATATTAATTCATTTAATTAATTATTATTATTATTATTTTGAGACAGTCTCACTCTGTCACCCAGGCTGGAGTGCAGTGGCATGATCTCGGCTCACTGCAACCTCCGCACCCCCTCAGTTCAAGCGATTTTTGTGCCTCAGCCTCCCGAGTACCTGGGATTACAGGCACCCACCACCACAACTGGCTAATTTTTGTACTTTTAGTAGAGACGGGGTTTCGCCATGTTGGCCAGGCTGGTCTCGAACTCCTGGCCTCAAGTGATCCACTGGCCTCGGCCTCCCAAAGTGCTGGGATTACAGGCATGAGCCACCGTGCCCGGCCTATTAATTCATTTAAATGCAATATATTTACCACATATGATTTTAAACATATTTGCATATATATATATTTTTACTATATTTCCCACTTGATTGAATGCTCTTCAAGGGCAGTGATTCCATTTTGTTCACTGATGGAACCCAGATTCCTAGACTAGTGCCCAGGAGAGCAACAAACATAGTTTATTGGATGAATTGAGTGAATGAGAAAATGACACAACGCTTGGGAAGCACCTGGAATATACTGGGTAATGGCATTATAATGATATGTTTTTTAAAGCCCAAATGGAGGTTGAGTTTTATATTCATTTCGTATGGCTGCTGTAACAAATTCCCAGAGATTTCGTGGCTTAAAACAACATAAATTTATTCTCTTGCAATTGTAGAGATCAGAAGTCTAAAATCAAGACGTTGCCAGGATTGGACATGGTGGCTTGTGCCTGTAATCCAAGCAACTGGGGTGGCTGAGGCAGGAGGATTGCTTGAGCCTAGGAGTTCAAGAACAGCCTAGGAAACACAGCAAGACCTTCATTTCTTTTATTTTTTAGACACAGGGTCTCACCCCATCAACCAGGCTGGAGCACAGTGGCATGATCATGGCTCACTGCAGCCTTGATCTCCCAGGCTCAGACGATACTCCCACCTCAGCCTCAGGCATGTGCCACCATGCCCAGTTAATTTTTTGCATTTTTTGGTTTCGCCATGTTGCCCAGGCTGGTCTTGAACTCCTGGGCTGAAGCAATCTGCCCGCCTTACCTCCCAAAGTGCTGGAATTACAGGCATGAGCCACTGCACCCAGCTGAGACCCTCGTCTCTAAAAAAACAAACAAACAAACAAAACCCTTAAAAATCAACCGGGCATGGGGAACATCACACACCGGGGCCAGTCAGGGGGTGGTGGGCCAGGGGAGGGATAACATTAGGAGAAATATCTAATGCAGATGACGGGTTGATGGGTGCAGCAAACCACCATGGCACGTGTATACCTATGTAACAAGCCTGCACATTCTGCACATGTACCCCAGAACTTAAAGTATAATAATAATTAAAAAAAGTCAACCGGGCATAGTGGTGTGTGTCTGTAGTCGCAGCTACTCAGGAGGCTGAGGTGGGAGAATCCCTTGAGCCCTGGAGGTCGAGGCTGCTGTGAGCTATGATGATGCCACTGCACTCCAGCCTGGGTGACAGCTCTGTGAGCAAGACCCTAACTCAAAAAAGAAAAGAAAAAGATATCAGCAGGGCTCCATTCTTTCTGGAGGCTCTGAAAGGAGAATTCATTTTTTGGTGTTTTTCCACTTTTAGCAACTGCCTGCATTCCTTGGATTGTGGCCTCTTCCTTCACTCTAATCCCTCAGTTCCGTTGTCACATCTCTTACTACTGACTCTGACCTTCTCACCTCCCTCTTATAAGGACCCTTGTGATTACATTAGGACCTCTTGGGCCTCCTCCAGGAAAATTTCCCCATCTAAACATCCTGAGTTTAATCACATCTGTAAAACCCTCTTAGCATGCAAGGTAACATAGGCAGGGATTCTAGGGATTTGGAATATGGACATCTTTGCAGGCCATTATTCAGCCTATCAGAGCTTTATTACCTCTGAATATCATTTTGGAATGAATAATTAAGGAGAAATTACAAGTTATTTGCTTTAACAGGCAAACTACTGGCCAGGTGCAGTGGCTCACACCTGTAATCCCAGCACTTTGGGAGGCCGAGGTGGGTGGATCACTTGAGGTCAGGAGTTCGGGACCAGCCTGGCCAACATGGTGAAACCCCGTTTCTACTAAAAATACAAAAATTAGCTGGGCATGGGGGTGGGCACCTGTAATCCCAGCTACTTGGGAGGCTGAGGCAGGAGAATCACTTGAACCCAGGAAGCGGAGTTTGCAGAGAGCCAAGATCAAGCCACTGCACTCCAGCCTGGGCAACAGAGCAAGATTCCATCTCAAAAAAAAAAAAAAAGGGAACTATTACTTATAATAGTTGGTCATTAATGACAAAACCGCAATTACTTTTGCACCATTAAAAAAAAAAAAAATGACAAAAACCGCAATTACTTTTGCACCAACCTAATTTGCACCAACACTTTCTGAGGCTGTCCTGGAAGAACCTGTCTTTGCCTGAGTTCTAAAGCAGAAAAACATGGGTGAACCAGGTTCACCACTCCTTAGTTACATAACTTGGGGCCAGTGCCTTAACCACTCTGTGCATCAATTTCCTCACCCATGAAATGAGAATCACAGGGTGACAAGAATGAATGTACCTAAAGTGTCCCAACCCAGAAATGGGCCTAGGGCAGATCCACAATGCCATTGTCACTAATGCACAGGGGCTGTAGGAGCACAGAGAAGGGGTGCCTAACCCAGCCACGGGGCAAGGAAGGCTTCCTGGAGGAGGTGATCTTGGAGTATAAGTGGGGGGACAGTCACATGTTAATAAATCATGTCCCCCACACACTCACAAAGCACTTTGCATTGTGCCTTAGCAGAGAGCAAATAGCTCAATAACTCACTGTTTTTTATTAGTTACAAAAGTGAGCTGGGACTACAAGGAGGAGGTCAAAGATGATTAAATAAACTATTATATGATGAAAAATCATGATACTGATTGGAAAGGGCTCTAATGCATGGGAGAAAACTTCAGAGCTGCCTCTACTGGATTGTTCCCCTCCTCCATGCTCAGGGCTTCTTGGGACCTGCCCTGACTGAGGCCTGGGAGCTTTCACTTCCCCTTGTCCACTCCACCCCATCAGAGGCTACTGGAGTCAAGCCGACAGGCTTCCTTTTTTTTTTTTTTTTTTTTTTTTGAGACAGAGTGTCAAAAGTGGCACGATCTCAGCCCACTGCAGCCTCCACCTCCTGGTTTCAGGCGATTCTCCTGCCACAGCCTCCCGAGTAGCTGGGATTACAGGTGCACGCCACCATGCCCAGCTGAACCACAGGCCATTTTCACAAAAGGCTTTAGAATGGCCAAAGTTGTAAAAGAATCAAATAAAGACAGGATCAATAAAAGTGCTTTGCTGAGCTACACTGAAGTCTGAAGTAAGTGGAAGAATCAGTGACACAATACTGATGCCAATTTTACTTAAAAATTTGATACTTTGGCCAGGTGTGGTGGCTCATGCCGGTAATCCCAAAGCTTTGGGAGGCCAAGGTCGGGGGATTGAGTGCCTCCAGGAGTTTGAAACCAGCCTGGGCAACATAGCAACACCCAGTTTCTGGCAAAAATAAAGTCAGCCAGGCGTGGTGGTGTACACCTGTAGTCTCAGGTACTCCGGAGGCAGAGGCAGGAGGATGGCTTGAGCCCAGAGTTCAAGGCTGAAGTGAGCTAGGATTGCACCACTACACCCAGTCCTGGGTGACAGAATGAGACCTTGGCTCTTAAAAAATTTTTGTAAATATTTTGACCAGGTGCAGTGGCTCACACCTGTAATCCCAGCATTTTGGGAGGCCGAGGCAGGCAGATCACTGATTTCAGGAATTTGAGACCAGCCTGGCCAACATGGTGAAACCCCATCTCTACTAAAAATACAAAAATTAGCCGGTCATGGTGGTGGGGGTCTGTAATCCCAGCTACTCGGGAGGCTGAGGCAGGAGAACTGCTTGAACCCAAGAGGCAGAGATTGTGCCACACTGCACTCCAGCCTGGGCAACAGAGCAAGACTCTGTCTCAATTAAAAAAAAAAAAAAAAAGCAAATTTTAAAAATATTTTATTCATCATGGATTTGGCATTAATTTTGATTTTCTAAAATATTGCATTAAAATACTATTTATCTTAATCATTGAGTTTTTGGGGGCACCCTCTTACATTTTGCACCCTCACGCTGGTCCCAGCCTGATTCCTGAGGCTTTTCTTAGGGACCGTTCCTGGCTCTACGGTAATGGGACAAGACAGAGAGATGGACCCATTATGATAAGGCAGACTGACACTTGCTGTGTGTTTAAGGGTAGGGTGAGGGCTACGAGATCCTGGAAATGACACTGCTTAAGGGGCAGGGAAAGCTTTTTGGAGGTGATTTCTAGCAAGAGTTAGTTGTGGGGAAGAAAAGGGCTCTCAGCTCTAAGAGGAAGTGAGAAGGGGTGGAGACTGCCTCCAAAAAAGTTGGGGTGAGTGGAAAAGCAGGCCGGCCAGAGCAGGGGGATTAGGATTGGGGGCCACGGACGGGTACCAGGATCAGATCTAGGTAGGAATTTCTTGGTGAAGAGGCCATTGCATTTGTATAGGCAGTAGTTCTCAGACTGTCGTCCCCAGACAGAAGCATCAGCATTGCCTGTGAATTTGTTAGACGTGCAAATTTTCCAGCCCTACAGCAAACCTTGTGAATTCGAAACTCTGGGAGGTGGGGTCTAGCAATCTGTATTTTCTCCAGGGGATTCTCAAACTCTCAAATTTGAAAACTAATGTAAGAGAGACATAAAAGAAAAATAAATCATAATGAAACAACATGCATTACAATGTGGAAATGCTCAGCCACTACTCCCTTAGAGGACACAGGGGCATCTCAGAAGCATGGGCCTGCCAATAATCAATGTGCTTGGATTTGAGAAATAAAATATTCTCTACTCAACTGAATTTTGTCCACAATTTTCCCTTATATTTGACATTTAAGTACCTATGACTGTCTGTCTACCTAGAGTGCAGCTACAGTTGTGGGCACCTTGTGTGGGATGCTCTAATATTAGCAGAGGCGTTGCCATCCATTACCTCCTTTTCCCTAAGGATGGATGAACAACTCTTGACAAAACTCTCAAGCAAAACAAAGTGTATTTTCCCTTCCTTTCCCTCCCCTCCCCTCCTCTCCCCTCCCCTCCCCTCCCCTCCCCTCCTCTCCCCTCCCCTCCTCTCCCCTCCCCTCCTCTCCCCTCCTCTCCCCTCCCCTCCCCTCCCCTCCTCTCCCCTCCCCTCCTCTCCCCTCCCCTCCTCTCCCCTCCTCTCCCCTCCTCTCCCCTCCCCTCCCCTCCCTTCCCTTCTCTCTTTCTCTCTGTCTTGCTGTGTCACACAGGCTGGAGTGCAGTGGCACGATCTCAGATTGCTGCAACCTCTGCCTCCCGGGTTCAAGTGATTCTCCTGCCTCAGCCTCCTGAGTAGCTGAGATTATAGGTGCCCGCCACCATGCCTGGCTAATTTTTTGTATTTTTAGGAGAGACAGGGTTTCAACATAGTCACCTTTCTGAAAATTCAGTAAAAAATACCAGGCTAGCCATGGTGGCTTCTGTCTGTAATCCCAGCACTTTGGAAGGCGGAAGCAGGAGGATTGCCTGGGCAACATAGTTAAACTTTTTTTTTAAAGGAGCTGGGTGTGGTGGTGTGTACCCGTTGTACTCAGGAGACTGAAGCAGGAGGATGATTTGAGCCTGGGAGATGGAGGCTGCAGTGAGCTATGATTGTGACATTGCACTTCAGCCTGGGTGACGGGAGTGAGACCCTGTTTCAGAAAAAAAGTGAGAGAAAGAGAGGAAGGAAGGAAGGAAGGCAGGAAGGAAGGAAGGAAGGAAGGAAGGAAGGAAGGAAGACTAGTGTTGATGCATGAAATGGAGTTAGGTTCTGGCTTCAAATTACTATAAATGGGTTTTTCACCCAGGAAACATTTTGTGGGAATGGAGCAATTCTTGTTGGGGAGACTGTCCAGTGCATTGGAAGACATTTAGCATCCAAGGCTCTTGCACTCTAAATGCCAGGAGCTCTCCCCCTCCATCAGCAAGACAACCACAAACATTCCCACAAATCCCCTCTTAGAAACGCTCCGTAGAAGCTACAGTGCCCCCCACTAGAATCACCTTTGAGATGAATCGTGCTGAGACCCTGTGAATAACATGGAGGAGGTCACAGCCCCAGGACAGAGGGAGGGACGGGGAAGAATCCAGGAGGCTGCGTGGGTTTCCTGTTGGGCAGTAAGACAAATTTGCTAAGCTGCGGGGCAGGCTGGGACCACTGCGTTTGCGAGTGCTTGTGCAACATGCAGAGGTTGGGGGTGGGAGCCGGGAGATGAGATTTTGGCTAAAAGAAAAGTTTCCTACTACTAAGTCAAGCCAGAATTGCCTTCTTGGTATCTTATTCCATGTTCCCCTCTCCATCCCCATAACTGGTCACCTCTCCCCGGGACAACAGCAGCAGCCTCCTCCCTGGTCTCCCTCAGCCCTCTGCCCCGTGGTCCCTCATCCACGCAGCAGCCGGAGCGATCTTTCCAGAGAGGATGGAGACTCCAGCCATTCCTCCCCTCTTCCCTTCCCTGAGTGCTGGCCTCCGGTTGACAAACTTCTTCCTGCTTCAGGGCACGCTGATCCCCCCTGCTTGGAGAGCTGTCTCTCTGTTCTTTCACCTGTTAATCCTGCTTATGCTCAAGCCCAAGCCTCAGAATAAAGCTCTTCTGGGAAGCCTTCCCTGACCTCCAAGGAGTTGGCTGGGTTTCAGAACACCCAGAAAGAATTCATTGAAAAAGATTAGCAAAATACTTTTTTAAAAACGTGCCTAATAACTTGATTAACCTCTGCAAAATCAGGCGAATCTATTTTGCTTACTGTTTTTGTTTTTTGTTTTTTGTTTTTTTGAGACCGAGTCTCGCTCTGTCGCCCAGGCTGGAGTGCAGTGGCGCGATCTCAGCTCATTGCAACCTCCGCCTCCCAGATTCAAGCGATTCTCTTGCCTCAGCCTCCCGAGTAGCTGGGACTACAGGCGCGCACCACTGCGCCCAGCTAATTTTTGTCTTTTTAGTAGAGACGGGGTTTCACCATGTTGGCCAGGATGGTCTCGATCTCTTGACCTCGTAATCCGCCCGCCTCAGCCTCCCAAAGTGCTGGGATTACAGGCGTGAGCCACCGCGCCCGGCCCCAGGACGTCTTTTATTTCCTGGTCGCTGTACAGTCCTGTCTGCACGGTCGCCGGGCCTCAGTTTCCCCAGGCAGAGCAGCGGGCAGGGCCCCTGGGGCGTACGGGCTCCGGGCGGCGCGCGCGCCCCCGAGTCCCAGGCCTGATAGCGGGGCGCGCGGGCGGGGGCGCGTGTGTCGGGCGCGCGAGGGACGTGATCGACCAGCCGAGGCCTCGGGCAGCCCTCAGGGCCCCCGCGCACGCGCGCCTCCTCGTCCCGCCCTGCCCGCTTCCCCGCCCACTCCGCGCACTGAGGCCTGCGCGCGCCGGCGCGGGAGGCGGGAGCTGGGGGCGGGGGCGGTGGCGACGCCGAGGGGGAGGGGCGGGCCCGGCCCGGCTCGGCCCGGCCGCCCGCGCGCGGCTCCAGGAGGCCCCGGGCCCGGCCCGGGCGGCGGTGGCGGTGGCGGCTCTAGCTCGAGACGTCTGTGGCGCCCTCGCACCGCGCCGCAGCCATGGCCCTGGTGACCCTGCAGCGCTCGCCCACGCCCAGCGCCGCCTCCTCCTCGGCCAGCAACAGCGAGGTGAGCCCCGGGCTCGCCGCGCCCGGCCTGGGCCGCCGGACGCCGCGCCGAGGCCGCCGGAGCTGGGGCCGCGCGTGCGGGGCAGGGGGGCGGCTGCGCGGGCTCCTCGGGGCCCCGCCGTAGGAACAGAGCCGGGCAGCCGGACCGGGGTGACCGTGCGAGGACTGTGTGCGATGTGACCCTGTCTTGGGGAGCTGTGCGGGGACTTTGTGTGCGGTGTGACCCCTATCGGGGGGCGACTTTGCAGGGACTGTGTATGCAGTGCGACCCCTCTGGGAGTGTCTGCAGGATACTGTGTGTGCGCTGTGACCCACATCAGGGGGTTACCCCCATCTTGGGGTGACCCCTGTTAGGCGGAGACTGTGTGCGTTGTGACCCCTAAGGGTGACTGTGCAGAGACTGTGTGTGCAGATGTGACCTCGTGATTGTGTGGGGACTGTGATTTCAGGTGTGACCCCCATCTTGGGTTGACCTCTGTCTGGGGAGGACTGTGCGTCTGTCGGGACTCCCATTTGTGAGTGACTCTGCAGTGTGACCAGGGTCCAGGGGTGACTGGATGTGCAACTGGGACCCTTGATTGGGTGACTGCGTGAGCCGCTGGTTCTGAGACCTGTGGCCGGGGTAGTTCTAGGCCCTTTGCCTGTATGCCTGGCTGTGCGATGTGAGATGTGACTGTTGCTGACCTGCCGTCCGGGGACTGTGCCAGCGTGAGACAGGCATCTGGGAGTGCCCCTACAAACGTGTGAGATTGTTTCCCCGCCTGCCGCCTCTGGAGTTCTGTCTGTAGGCGTGCCCGTGTCACTGTGTGACGGTGACCGAGCGTGCTGTGGGCTCTGTGTGGCTGTGTTTCACGTCTGTGCGTGCAGCCTTAGTCTGGCTTTTCCTTTCTGTAACATCACTCAGGCCTGTGTGTTTATGTGCATCTATCTTTCTGTGTGGCTGTGACCCATTCTGGGTGATTGCATAGGTGCATTCCTGGGTTGCGTGTCCTGGCACTGTGCGCGTTTTTGTGGGTCTGTGTGTGGCCCAGGTCCGTTTGCCTGGCCACTTTTTCCTCTGGGGTTGATTGAGGGCACTGTTGCCCTCTTAGCCTGCAGGGTTGGCCTGGCTTGTCCTAGGCTGGGGCCTTGGGCCTCTGAGCAGGTCAGCCCTCTGTAGCTGCAGGGATGACCCTCTGGTCGCGCAATCTTGCCCACCATCTCTTGAAGAACCCGTCAAGGCCTCTGGTCTAAACTCTTACCTATAACAAGGCTGAGTGTCCGCCTGCAGACCCTTAGCTGTGTTTAGAGAAGACTGGAGGAGCGGCCCTGCGGTCCCAGGCCCAGGAAGTTCCGCAGCCAGCATCTGGGCTCTTCAGCCCCTTTCTTTGTGGGAGGGAGTGGGGGAAGTTGACTGATAACACGGGGGAGGTTTGTGTGTCTGAGAGAGACAAGAGAATAATGTTTGCATTTGGCTTGACAGCCCTGTCTCCTGGTAGGGTAGTTCTTCAGCCTTGTTTTGCTGGGATTGGCAGGGACATTTTCAGAGTGGCTGGGAAGTTGAACCTTCACAGCCCCCTCCTTGGAGAGGAGAGGCCATTCATGAGTTATCTATACACAGAAGGTTCTAGTAATCCCCCTCTACACGCTGATTAGAGGCAAAAGAACACTGGCGATCAATAGCCTGCTACTGAGAAGTTAGGTTGCAGGAGCGCCTTTCCTTCCCACAGCGAGGAGGGGCTGTTTTCTGTTCCGGTCACTGCTGTCTGGCAATTTATGCACTTAATCTCAGGTTCTCATCACAAAAGTTTATGTGAGGTAAGGGGAGAGGTTGGCTTCAGGCTGAACCTGTCAGCCCAGATTTCTGATTCAAAACCCCATGTTCCTAGAGTTACTTGCAACCTAATCTGTTCTTGTCTTACGCATTTTAAGGTCTTATTATTTTTTAGTTACATACCATAAATTTGCCATTTTAAAGTGTACAATTCAGTGGTTTTTAGTATATACATGAGATTGTGCAACCACCACCATCTAATTCCAGAACATTTTCATCCTCCCCAAAATAGGAACCCTGTACCCGTTAGCCCTCACCTGCAGCCTCCCCCTGCCCCATTCTCCCTAACCTTAGGCAACCACTAATCTACTTTCTGTATCTATGGATTTGCTTATTCTGGACATTTTATATAAATGGAATCACACCCTGTGTGGCCTTTTGTGTCTGGCTTCTTTGACTCAGCATCACGTTTTCAAAGTTCATGCATATTGTAGCATGTGGCAGTACTTCATTCCTTTTCATGGCTGTATAATACTCCATTGTATGGATGTACCACATTTTGTTGGACATTTGTGTTGTGTCTACTAGATACATTTTCAATTATTATATAAAGCATTATTTTTACCAAGTGCCAATGACCCTGATAAACATAAAGTAAAACTCAGGCAGCTTTTATTTGATCATAGCAAAGCTGCAGCATTCATTGCTTGGCTTTGAATGCGCTGGGATGTTTCCCGAAGGCAAGGCCCTCGTTCAGATGTGTTGAGGTGAGAAGCAAGGTGGGATGGAGACAGCAAGTGTGTATGGGGTCAGGAGACCTAGGCCAGGCCGGTTCTGCCCTGGTCCGCCCTCGCTTGAGTTGCTTCCTGTGTGTGGGCCCTGGCTCATCTAAAAGGACTGAATTACCTCTTTCATGTGTTCCTTGGCAGATGTAGTTTCCCTGGAATAACTGACCTGAGATGGCCTTTCATCTGAGAACCTCAGAGAGTGACCGAGAGTTAAATGATTGTGAAGTCCGTACCCCCAAGTCACGTCATCACTCTTCAAATTGCAACTTCATAATGAGTCAGACACTTAGGGCAGTGCTTTCCTGACACAGCCAGGCCTGCTGCCGGCGTGGGAAACGGGGGATCACAGCCCTCAGTCCTAAGGCTCTCTTTTCTCTTTTAATTTTCTTTTTTTCCCAGTCTTTGATTATGTCACTTATGTCATTTTCCTGTGAATCTTATCTCAGTTCCTTTGTGTGAACAGGCAGAGCACAAGAATAGATAAATCAATAATTTTCAGGAATGGATCATAACATTGTTATTTCTGAGAAACATTCAAAGTGACTAATTTTCATGGGCAGATCTCCAGGCACTTTTTTGGATTGGACCAGAGTTTCTCAACCCACTGTTGATACTTGGGACCAGAACATTCTCTCTTGTGGGGGGACCATCCTGTGTGTTGTGGGATCCTGTCCTCTACCCACTAGGTGCCAGTAGTGACCTCCAGAAAAATGCCTCCAGACATCTTCCAATGTCTCCTGTTGAGAGAACTTGCTCCGCATTGAGAACCACTGGGTTAGACCCCAACATACTCTTTGTCAATTTGTTGCTCTTGTGACTTGTTTTGTGGTCATTGAAGCCTTCCCTGCTCTTTCCACTTCTCCTTCAGTGTGGGGTAGGTGCCTCTGCAGAATCTTGTATGTACTTCATCTTAATATGATGTAGGGACTCCCAGGCCCTCTGGTGTACGCTTTTTTTTTTTTTTTGAAACGAAGTATTGCTCTTTCACCAGGCTGGAGTGCAGTGGTGCAATCTCGGCTCACTGCAACCTCCGCCTCCTGGGTTCAAGTGATTCTCCTGCCTCAGCCTCCCAGGTAGCTGGGATTACAGGTACATGTCACCGTGCCTGGCTAATTTTTGTATTTTTAGTAGAGACAGCGTGTCACCTTGTTGGCTAGGCTGGTCTCGAACTCCTGACCTCAGGTGATCCGCCCACCTCGGCCTCCTGCAGTGCTGGGATTCCAGGTGTGAGCCACTGCGCCGGGCTGGTGTACTCATTCTTGGTTGAAGTTGCCACCTCCTGGTGGGTGTCCCTTGCTGCCCAGGCCCCTCCCTACATTATCTCTGGACCCTTTTTCCTTCGCCCTTGGCTCCTGCCTCATTTCTGTCCTCGATCAGCCCTGCATCTCTCCCAGCCATCACAGCTTTCCAGGTTTCTCTTTCCCATTCAATGGGCGCCTCTGTGCAACATAAAAAACATGCCAAGTCCCAGCGGTGCGGAGTTGTTTGGGGGGTGTGTATGTGTTTCCTTCTTATTTTCAGTTTGCTCTCTGAAAGAAAAAAAATAAAAATAAGTCATAGGTACTTCTGGAGCCCAAACTCGTGGCCTTTTAGATTTCAGAAAATATTAAATATCTCTTTCTTGCATTTATATAAATAAACCGATAGCCTAGGATGTTTCGTATCAAATGTTTAAGTCTTTTCGAGAACCATCAAGAGCTTTCAAGACCCACAAACAGACGGCCTGATTCCTGGCCACCTTCCACTGTGCAAGTCTTGCCTGGGTTGGTTTTTTGAAAATGGTGTTCATCACTCAGCTGTTATTGCCTGGCTCTGCGGAGGAAGTGGATTCTCTTTAAACATGACCCCCTCCCCTTAAAAGAGAAAAACAGGATAAGGTCCAGAACAACCTCGGAAAGTTGAGGGCTGAGGGCTAAAAGACCGTGCTGGGTAACAACACCAGATAGGAAATGTTGAGCTAACAGGACTCCATCCCCTGGACTGCGGCAGGAATGTGGGTCAACATTTGGAAACCTGAAAATTCCCCCACGGAAATGACTCCAAGGGACAGACCGGGATTGGTGAGGAAAGGGCACGGCTGTTTAGAAGTAGCTAGGTTTCCTGGATATCTTTATCTTTTTCCAGTACCGGGGTAGAAAATGTGAGACTGCCGCCCGAGGCGTGTTGACAGTGGTGCCTGTGGTGTGATATTCTCTTTCTTTCTCTGTAGTTGGAGGCTGGCAGCGAAGAAGATCGAAAATTAAACCTCAGGTAAGCAGACTTTCAATTCTTGTTCCTAAGTCTTTCTCCCAAGCAGGTAAGGAATGCTCTTGTTCCTCTCCCAAAGGGAAAACGTTCAAAAAGAATATGCCAATTTTGGGCTGGGTGCGGTGGGTCACGCCTGTAATTCCAGCACTTTGGGAGGCTGAGGCGGGTGGATCACAAGGTCAGGAGATCGAGACCATCCTGGCCAACATGGTGAAACCCTGTCTCTACTAAAAAAACAGAAAAAATTAACCGGGCGTGGTAGTGTGTGCTTGTAGTCCCAGCTACTTGGGGGGCTGAGGCGGGGGAATCGCTTGAACCCGGGAGGCAGAGTGAGCCAAGATTGCGCCACTGCACTCCAGCCTGGCGACAGAGCAAAACTCCGTCTTAAAAAAAAAAAAAAAAGAATATGCCAATTTTTTAGTGCTTTAGAAATTATACCTAAAACACATAAAACTGAAGTGCTTTAAAATCCATACATATGTCTAGCCACTTTAATAATATTATATAACGCTTGGAAAAGAAGGAAAATAATTGCCATTATTCTACCACCCTTACATTACCATTTTGAGCATTTTTTGGTAACTTATTATTTTCTAATAGAGACAAGGTCTTGCTGTGTTGCCCAGGCTGGTCTTGGACTCCTGGCCTCAAGACATCTTCCTGCTTGGCCTCCTGAAGTACTGGGATTACAGTCATGAGCTACTGTGCCCGGCCTAACTTGAGCATTTTTATGTATTTTCTTGCAGACTATTCTTCTGCTTAAAAAAAAAAGTAATAATCATGACACTCTGCCCTCACTTTTTCATCTTGCTTTTGGTAAGGTGTTCCTTTTGCGGTAAGCACTTTGCTGATTTGAAACAGATACTCAACCCCCTAAAGGTATCAATTCAGGGTGCTTTAATTGTGCTTATGAGAAATCTTTAGCTCTGCTCATTTAAAAGATTCCAAGATGGCAGTCCTCAGCTGATGTATTCACTAATGGACACCAAAAACATTTTTGTTTTTTCTTTGCCAAAAATTAAGTTCTGCCTTTGTTTGGGTGTTTTGTTGATTTATGGAAGATTCAGCCCTTTGTTATATTAATATCATGTATTCCTTCATACCAAGGAGCCAGTCTTAAACTCTGACCTCATAGTTTTAAAAAAAGTAAATAAATTTTCAGGAATATTGTTCTTTAAAAAAAAATAGTCTGTTTTATCTCATGAGGGGAAGGAAAATTAATTGGAAAAGGAAATATGTGTTCAGAAATTGGGGTCAACCATTCATTACCGACAGCAGGGTGTTCTGGTCAAACTCATATGCAGAACTGGTAGAAATATGCTCAGCTTTTCTCCGATGTTTCTGTGTGCTTGAGTGAAGGGAGGGGAAATACTCACTTTTATTACGGCACACATGATTTCTAAAGATTATGTGGGTAGGGAAACACTAGCCTGCAAGAATCAAAGAGATTCCTTATTTCTGGGTCCTCGCTGGGGGACTTCTGCTGGGTCCTCACTTTTAATGTTATGCTCAAGATACAGGACACATTTGCTCCATCACCCTGGGGTTTTTGATTGGTCAGGTCAGGGCCCACGTCAGGGTTCCCAGGCTAGAAGCAGCTGGATTCCCAATGGGGGCAGTCATGGGCCGAGTTGCAGATCAGACTGTCTGGGTGGAAGCAGGGAGGGGTGGAGTGGAAGTCTGGAGACTGACTGTCGAGGAGGAACTGAAAGAGGGGCTTGCCCACCTCACAGCGGCTCCTGTGGGCGCCCAGCTCCCTTCCCCCCAAATCTCCCCCAGATGCCTGCCCCCAACTGCCCTCCCCACCAGCTCCTCTCTCCACCTGTTCTCCTCCCCAAAATCCCCTTCCCCAGATCCCTCCCTCCAGGTTCCCCTCCCCCGACTCCCCATCTCTCTTCCCCACTCCCCTCCCCCAGATCCCCTCCCCAAGCTTCCCTCCCCCAAATCCCCTCCCTAGATCCCATCCCTAACCATCCCTCCCCAATCCCCTCTCCCATCTCCCCTCCCTGAAGTCCCCTCTCTGAGCTCCCCTTCCCCCAGCTCCCCTCCCTAAATCCCCTCCCCAAGTTCCCCTCCCTCAGCTCCCTTGCCCCAGATTTCCTCCCTAGATCCCCCTCCCCAAGCTCCTCTCCCATTTCTCCTCCCCATCTCCCCACCCCCAGCTCCCCTCCCTAGATCCTCTCCCCAAGCTTCCCTCTCCCAGATCCCCTTCCCCAGCTTTCCTCCCCCATCTCCCCTCCCCCATCTCCCCTCCCCAAGCTCCCCTCTCCCAGATCTCCTCCTTAGCTCCCCATCCCCACGTCCCGTCATTGAGCTACCCTCCCCAAGCCCTTTTCCCCCAGCTCCCTCCTGGAGCTCCCCTCCCCATCTCCCCTCCCCCAGCTCCCTCCTGGAGCTCCCCTCCCCATCTGCCCTCCCCCAGCTCCCTCCTGGAGCTCCCCTCCCCATCTTCCCTCCCCCAGCTCCCTCCTGGAGCTCCCCTCCCCATCTCCCCTCCCCCAGCTCCCTCCTGGAGCTCCCCTCCCCATCTCCCCTCCCCCAGCTCACTCTTGGAGCTCCCCTCCCCCATCTCCCCTCCCCAATGCTCCCCTCCCCCAGCTCCTTCCTGGAGCTCCCCTCCCCATCTCCCCTCCCCCAGCTCCCTCCTAGAGCTCCCCTCCCCATCTCCCCTCCCCCATGCTCCCCCTTGGAGCTCCCCTCCCCCATGCTCCCCTCCCCCATGTTCCCCTCCCCCAGCTCCCTTCTGGGCTCTCCTCCCCATCTGCCCTCCCCTAGCTCCCTCTTGGAGGTCCCCTCCCCCATGCCTCCTCCCCTGGCTCCCCTCCAGCCCTTTCTTGGGGTTGGAATCTCTTCCATCTCTTGTCTCTCTCAGGGCTGTTGTTGATGAGTGAGTACTGAGCTCTGTCACTTAGACTGTCTTTGGGGCAAAGAGCTATTTTTATTTTTTAGTTACCTTTAATAGCTTATAGCATAGTGTTTTCAGTTAATAAGAACTTATAAATAGCAGTGACATGAAAATTTGTATGTGGACCTTTCTCATTAGTATTTAACCTTTTTTAAAATTAAAACTTTTTATTTTTATTTTTTAGAGACAGGGTCTTTGTTGTCCAGGCCGGAGTGCAATGGTGTGATCATAGCTCACTGCAGCCTTGAACTCCTGGGGCCAAGCTATCTTCCCACCTCAGCCTCCCAAGTAGCTGGGACTACAGGCGTGCGCCACCACACCTGGCTAATTTTTTTAAATGTGTTTTGAAGAGATGAGATCACACTGTGTTGTTGAGGCTGGTCTCAAACTCTTGGGCTTAAGTGATCCTCCCACCTCAGCCTCCCAAAGTGCTGGGATTACAGGCGTGATGACAGTCACTGCACCTGGCCCTTTTCTTGCTAATAAAAGGTCCCTTTCTCTTCTAGTTGGGAGCTGCAGGGGACCTTACAAAGGGATGGGAAATAAAGCTTTGGCAGCTTTCCATATTCTCAAAACAGCCCTTGGAGGGGGGTTTTCCCGGTTGGTGGCTGAGGCCCAAGATTGGAATTGGGAAATCCTGTATTTGAAGCGAGACCTCTAATGCCAAGTTGATCCTACTCTGCCGCCTTTCTGGGGACCAGGTTAGTAGTACTGTTGAATTAGCTGTCTTGGACATACAGGTGAGGGAGCATGCCTAAGTCCACTGGGGTGGATTAGCAGCAGCGCCAGGGCCAGCACCAAGGACTCATGCCAACTGGTGGCAGGTGCCTCCTGGGATGTTGGGTCATTCTGACCACCACCGAGAGTCCTTCCGTGCCACTGTCAGCAGGTCCCCAACACCATTGTGACCACAGGGAGACCCTGGGCTGGAGTTGGAGACCTGTGTTCTCATTTAGGGTGGGATGCTGGGCTCTGGGCTTGTCCCCCTAGGTGCCCTTTTAAACCCCTCTTCAGCCACCTTGACGTCACACTCACCTTTTTAGGCACAGGACACCATCCTGCCTCCTAGCCTTCCTCGCTACACAAGAAAAGTTGTGTCCTGGTTTAAGCTTTGACTGAAACTCATTCACATCCGTGTGTTAATTTGCATTTTCAGGCCTCTTCTCTCTGAATCTCTCCTAGAGAAGAAAATTATGGAATAGTTGGTTGCTTTCTGTTTGGGGTCAGGAGAATTAGGGAGAGATTTCTCTTTGTTTCCAATGGATCCTGAAGGTGAGCTGCCATCACCTCATCTCTAGGAGGTGCTGTAGGGAGAAAAACTGGAGGTAGCAGGGTATTTCTCTCTCTTTTCTCCCCTCCGTCTAGCCTTAATTAATAGTTTCATCTTTTGGGTCATCGAAAAAGTCAGCTCTGATTCATCCATATCCAATAAATTGCAGGGTCACATGGATCGGGTCTTCCGAGCCACCTGCCTTCTTTTTCTCAAGTTCCCTGGTGGCGCCTCTTCAGGTCCTCACATCTCTTCTGTCCCGTCACAGAGGAACACCTCAGACCCATCCTCTCTACCTTGGCATATCACCCCCTGGTCCCTTGATGCTTCTTCCTTCTGGTCCTCGGAGTCTTTTCTGAGCTCCAGCGTCACCGGCGTTGGTGGCCTTTCCACCCTCCCCTCTCGCATGTGCCTTTTCCAGTCCATTGGGACTACTCCCTGCTCCCCCGTCACACACGTTCCCTAGGCCAGTTCCTTTTCACCTGGCTGTAGTCCTCATGACCAGCTAAAAGTGCGCCTGCCCCAGATATTTGTGATTTCCCTCTCTTCAGAGAAAGCAGGGAGCCCCTGGCATCCCTATCTGTGACAGGTGCCACACCCGCCTTACAATGCAGGTCTGTGTGCCCTTGTTGTATCCCTAACTGCTCTCAAATCCCTTAGTGACGGCCTCATTTCTCTGCCTTTGTGTAGCATTTAAACAGTTTAAATGGCTGGGCACGGTGGCTCACATCTCTAATCCCAGCACTTTGGAAGGCCAAGGCGGGACGGATCACTGGAGCTCCGGAGTTCGAGACCAGCCTGGCCAACATGGTGAAACCCCCTTTCTACTAAAAATACAAAAATCAGCCGGCCTGGTGGTGCGCTCCTGTAATCCCAGCTACTCGGGAGGCTGAGGCAGGAGAATTGTTTGAACCCGGGAGGTTGCAGTGAGCCGAGTTTGCGTCACTGCACTCCAGCCTGGGCAACAGAGCGAGACTCTGTCTCAAAATAAGTAAGTTGATAAAAGTGAACAGTTTAAATGGATGAACCTTTGACCCTGCAGTAAATTCCAGACATGTAGGAGAAACAGCCAGGTGTAGAGGGAAGGCAGTGGGGTTCTGAGTCAGGCAGACCTAAGTTTGGCATCTGGCTCCTGTGCTGGTGGCTGAGTTCCTTTACCTTTGTGTGTTCTTACAGCTCTGTGGGTCTCAATTGTTCCACCTATAAAACAGGGATGACACTGTGACCTTTCAGGGTTGTGGAGTAGTTGTGTGATGTTCCTTGTCTAGGCCAGGCCCAGTGGCTCACGCCTGTAATCCCAATACTTTGGGAAGCCAAGGTGAGTGGATTGCTTGAGCCCCGTAGTTTGAGACCAGCCTACACAACATGGCAAGACCCCATCTCCGCAAAAAAAATAGAAAAATTAGCTGGGCATGGTGGCGCACGCCTGTAGTCCCAGCTACTCAAGAGGTTGAGGTAGGAGAATCACTTGAACCCAGGAGGTCGAGACTGCAGTGAGCTGAGATTGTGCCGCTGCACTCCATCCTGGGTGACAGCAAGACCCTGTCTCAAAAAAAAAAAAAGTTCCTTGCCTAGAATCAGGTCCACAGTGGGCTTGGTTGCTGTGCTCGGTCTTCACAAAGTATTGCTGATGTGCAGTGTTAGTTCACGGCAGAGGAGAATTAAAGGGGCCGACTCCTGCAGGTGCTGGGTCCAGGCCTGAGAGGGCGCCCACCATGGATGCCCTTTGACTTGAAGCAGCCTTCCTCCTTTACCCGGCTACATTCCTATAAGATGCAAATAAGAATACAGACTTGGAGGAAGCAGTGTTGTAACTCAGACAGTATTTCTGAAGGCCTTCTGGGAAGTGTCTCAAGAACTGATCATCTCACACCCAGCATGCAGATGATTGCAGCAGAGCAGTATAGATCCATTTCCCTCGCTCTCCCCTGCCTTCTGCATGTGCAGGCTGCTGCTGGCCGCTCGTAGTCCCTCTTTGGAAGCTGTGCCGTTCAGACTGTGGGAATTGGTGAGCAGATGGCCCTGCTGGCAGCAGCTCCTGGCTCCCTTGCCATCCCGGGAGCTGGCTCAGTCTGGCATGAGACATAAGTAGTTGTGGGCTAGGTAGGACACTGGGGAGATAATATTGTCCCCAGGGTGTGGATCAGGAGTGAAGTTTTTTTTTTTTAATCCAGCATTTCCAAGTCAATTGCGGGAACGTGGTCATTAGAATTATTATAATTTGCTCATTTGTGATTGCCTGCCCTAGCAAAGGTTTGGGCCAGAGCGAGCTGCAGGATTTTGTCTCTTCTGTTTTATTTGGTTTCAGTGGTAAACTGTGAACTCCCTGACTCCTCTGCCTTTCTCTCCGCACTCCCTTCCCCTTTTGGTCTCCACTTGGAAGTCCCCCAGGGACCCCATTCTCCCTACAGCCTTTTGAAGTGTGGTTTTGCCTTCACCCCCTCCCCTACAGTGTCAGAGTGGATGGGGGTTGGCATGTCATTGCCCTGCAGACCATGCTTCCCCTCTTCATTGAACACCCCTACTTTTGCACCTGTCCACACTCTGGGGTTCCTCCCTGCCCTTGGCAGTCCATCTTAGCCTGGGCTTTATTGTCTTTGTTGCTTGTCTGTCCAGTTAAGTCCTGCCAAGAGGTGTCATGCACCCCGTGCATCCAAGTTCTGTGTCCGTACTGGAGATGGATGTGTGCATAGGTTACTGTATCAGTCATTGCCTGCTGCATGACAAGTTACCACTAACTTAACAGTTAAACAATATATGTTTATTTTGTTTAAATTTGAAATGGAGTTTCGCTCACGTTGCTCAGGCTAGAGTGCAATGGCGCAATCTCAGCTCGCTGCAACCTCCGCCTCCCGGGTTCAAGCGATTCTCCTGCCTCAGCCTCCCAAGTATCTGGGATTACAGGCGCATACCACCACACCTGGCCAATTTTGTATTTTTAGTAGAGACAGGGTTTCATCATGTCGGGCAGGTTGGTCTCGAGCACCTGAACTCAGGTGATCTGCCCGCCTTGGCCTCCCAAAGTGCTGGGATTACAGGCATGAGCCATCATGCCTGGCCAGCCACCGCACCCAGGCCATGTTTATTATCTCACAGCTTCCATGGGTCAGGAATCTGGACACGGTATAGCTGGGTTCTCTGTTCGGGAACTCACAAGGCTTGCTGGCCGGGGCTGAGGTCTTGTCTGAACCCCAGGGTCCTCTTTTAAGCTCACGTGGTTCTTGGCTGAATTCATTTTCTTTTTTTTTTTACTTTTTTTTTTTTTTTTCTGCTCTGTTGCCCAGGCTGGAGTGCAGTGGTGCGATCTCGGCTCACTGCAGCCTCTGCCTCCTGGGTTCAAGTAATTCTCCTGTCTCAGCCTCCCGAGTAGCTGGGACTGTAGGTGTACCCTGCAAATTTTTGTCCTGTCTCAGCCTCCCGAGTAGCTGGGACTGTAGGTGTACCCTGCAAATTTTTGTCCTGTCTCAGCCTCCCGAGTAGCTGGGACTGTAGGTGTACCCTGCAAATTTTTGTATTTTTAGTAGAGATGGGGTTTCACCGTATTGGTCAGGCTGGTCTCAAACTCCTGACTTCAGGTGATCCACCCGCCTCAGCCTCCCAAAGTGCTGGGATTACAGGCGTGAGCCACCACGCCTGGCCTGAATTCATTTTCTTGCAGCTGTGGAGAATTCGTGGTGCTTGCTTCTTCAAGGCCAACAGGAGAGTCTGCTTCTGTAGGGTCTTATGACAGATTGTTATCACTGGAATGACTGTCTTACCGCCTTTAATGTGCAGCACAGCCTAATTAAGGGAACAGCTCTCCCATCTTGTTCTCTGGTCCCTCCCACATTCAAAGAGAAAGGCTCACTCGGGTGCATGCACCTAGCAGAATTCTGCCCACCAGTCAATCTGTGTGTGTTCTAGGGATGCCCCCAGTCTAACATAGAACACATGTAAACAAGTAGGCTTCCATTCAGCGTTACAGATGTGCCTAGTTTGGGGATGGTAAGGGGTGCCTGGTGCTCATGGGAAGAGACCAGAAACACGGGGAGCGAGCCTTGCAGAGTCTGACATCACCCTGGTAAACACTGGTCCCCTCCACTCAGCACCCACATGCTTGTTCATGCTCTGAGGCTTAGTGTCTCTTGGATTTGCCCCCACCTTGAACATGCTGGCCTTAAAAATAACCGCCCATGTTGATTCTTATTTTTTTTTTTCTATGATTTTGGACTTAGGGAGGGATGGGCATGGGTTTGGCTCCTGTGTCTGTCCTTTGTCACCTCCTAGGCTATTATATGATCTCGGGCAGGCCTTAGTTTCAAATGGCCAGTATAGTACACAGCTTGTAGGGTGGTTGTCAGAATTAAATGTGCTCATGATGCGAACCCCTTCTCCCATAGTAGACATTCAACAAATGCCCCTGCCCGTACTTCCTTCATGGTAACAGCTTCTGTTGGGAATGATTCGTGTCTTCCTTTTTCTTCTCACAGGCGTTTTTCTCTCCTTAGTGTTTCCTTGGTGTTTGGTACTTGCTTTGTAGTATATGTACTTAGGTACAGAAATATTTCCTGTAATGCAGGACTGGCTGCGTAATTTGTGAAGCCCAGTGCAAAATGAACATGGGAGAGCCCCTTTTAAAAACATTATTAAGAGGCTGGGCTCAGTGGCTCACGCCTGTAATCCTAGCACTTTGGGAGGCCGAGGCGGGCGGATCACTTGAGGTCAGGAGTTTGAGACCATCCTGGGCAACATGGTGAAACCCTGTCTCTGCTAAAAATACAAAAATTAGCCGAGTATGGTGGCGCGTGCCTGTAATCCCAGCTACTTGGGAGGCTGAGGCAGGAGAATCACTGGAACCCGGGAGGTGGAGGTTACAGTGAGCTGAGATCACACCACTGCATTCCACCCTGGGCGACAGAGTGAGACTCTGTCTCAAACCAACAAACAAACAACAACAACAAACATTATTAAGAATTTCAAGATGGCACCAACAGAGTATTAAACCAAGCACGGGGCCCCTCTGAGCACATATGAAGAAGCTGGCCCTGCCCACTAGACCGTGAGCCACCCTAGGGACAGGGCTGCCTGACCTCCTGCCTCACAGTGCCCAGTTTGCCCTGGATAGGCCCTAGAGGTCTTGTAAGTTGAGTATTGTTTCCTGTTGAGCAACTAAAAGTGGTCTTGGACTTTCAGGAAACAAAGGACAGAGAAATTCTTCCCACCGTTGCCTCCGTTGCAGTTTAGTAATATCGGTGCTGTTAGATCAGTCTCAAGACCCCTCTGTCCTCATCTGTCTGCTTGTGAGCTATTCATTCAACAAATATTTTTTGAGCTCCTACTGTGTGCCAAGCCCTGTTTTAGGGGCTGGGAATATAGCAACAAACAAAATAAAAATTCCTGCTCTGGAAGCTGACATTCTGTTGAGGAGACAAGACAGTAAATAAAATAAACAAGCGCAATAATCGTGTGTTGGTAAGTGCCCAGGCGAAAAAATAAAGCAGGGATGGAGGAGAGAAAAGGGAGCACCCATACTCCACTCTGTGATTGCCTTGTGTGCATTATTTCAGTTAATCTTTGTGAAAACCCTGTAAGGACATTTGAATTCCCATTCCCTGGAGGAGAAGACTAAACCCCAGAGAGGTCAGTGGCCTGTTTTTATTTAGTAGTAAACGGTAGAGCTGAGACCCTCATACTCCATGTCTCATTGACTCCAAAACCTGTGCTCTTCACCCCAAAATCCAAGCACTGTCTTTTCCTCCTCCCTATGCATCAGAACCCACACTGGGAGACAGAATGGAGTTTATCAGAAGAACCAGGCTTTGCAGTCCATTCTTCCTGGTGAGCCATTAGCGGCATCACTATGTGCTTGGGCAGGTCCCGTCAACTCCCTGAGCTGTACTTAAAGCAGGGATTGTCACGTATCCCCTTCATGTGCTGCAGCCCGGAGAACATCCGGGTGGTAATGAGGCCAGCTTCTGCAGGCTGCAGGCTCTGGGCTTGGAACTTTTGCACTTGCTGTCATCTTGTTGTCACAAGCCTGCAAAGTAGGGACTCTCCTCATTTTAGGAAACCAGTTCCACGAGGCTGGTGGGAGGCCTGAGCCAGGGTTTGAATGCAGGCTGCTGTGATTCAGGGACCTGAGTCCTGCCCTAACCCCTGTGGCCTTGTAGGTAGTGGCCTCCCATTGACTCCCACTTTTAAACATTGGGGCATATTTAAACATTGGGGTCATTGTGCTGTTTGGCTGTTCCTTTTGGTTTAACTCGGGTTTTATTTCTGCAGTTTGTTGGAACGTTTGATTTGAAAATCAGAATTTGCCTTCAATTTTTTTTCCCTCTCTCTCTCTTTTCTTCTTTTTGAGACAGAGTCTTGCTCTGTTGCCCAGACTGGAGTACAGTGGCATGATTACAGCTCACTGCAGCCCCGACCTCCTGGGCTCAATTGGTCCTCCCACCTCAGCCTCCCAAGTAGCTGGGACCACAGGTGCACACCACCTTGTATTTTTGGTAGAGACAGGGTCTCACTGTGTTGCCCAGGCTGATCTTGAACTCCTGGACTCAAGTGATCTGCCCACATCGGCCTCCCAAAGTGCTGGGATTCCAGGCATGAGCCACTGTGCCTAGCTATATATATATATATATATACACACACACACATATATACTTTTTTTTTGTGGGGGGGGATGGAGACTTGCTCTGTCACCAGGCTGGAGTGCAGTGGCACGATCTTGGCTCACTGCAACCTCTGCCTCCAGGGTTCCAGTGATTCTCCTGCCTCAGCCTCCCGAGTAGCTGGGATTACAGGCATGCGCCACCACCCCTAGCTAATTTTTCGTATTTTTAGTAGAGACGGGGTTTCACCATGTTGGCCAGGTTGGTCTCGAACTCCTGACCTCAGGTGATCCACTCGCCTCGGCCTCCCAAAGTGCTGGGATTACAGGCGTGAGCCACTGCACCCGGCCCTATATATTTTTTTTAATTAGAAAACTCATTCTAGAATGGGGACAAATGAGGACAGAGACGTGAAGAGTTAATTCTGTCAGAACTTAATTAAACTTTTCATTAAGGTTAACGTAAAACGAATTTTGCTCAGAGTCTAGTAGGTTTCATTAAACTTTCGAAACACCAGTACTTAGACTTCAAAAGAACGCCTCAGGGCTCTGGTCTCCTTCCTGTGCACTTAGCACATTGCGTGAGCGTGCACGCATGCATGTACACACCAGGAATGTGCGTGCAAGCTCAGCTCGTAGGTAGCAGTGTTACCAGCGTTCATCTTCATGATAAATGGGGCAAAGCTGTGAGACGGAGTCAGACAACCTAGGGTCCATCTTGAGAGGCGTCATCTGCTGTGCAACCTAAGGCAACGCCTCTTCACTTCTCTGGGTCCCTGTCTCCTGCTATGTAAAGTGAAAAGACAAGATTAGGTGATGGCCTCCAAATTTAAGAATGAGTCCTCAGACCCACCAATCTAGATCTGTGTTTATATTGTGCTGCTCATCATTTGCTGTGTATTTGTAACTGACTATCACGAGTTTTATTCCCACGGTGAGAGCAAGGTCATGCGCTTATGGGGGTCTAGCTGGGTCAGGGCTATGGTCTGACCCTGCAGTGGAGAAAACCAGCCGGGCTACTGAGAGGAAGTGACCCTCTGCTGGGACTCACCTCCTCCTCCGCAGGGCTTAGCCTGCCGCGTCTGCCCCCAGGAGCAGAGCCATACACAAAGCAGCGTCCGTTTAGAAAGAAAGTACTCGCATCTTTAGAACTCATCTTTGGCATTCATTGTTCTGTGGTCGGATCTCTGGATTTAGACAGCTTATTAGAAAATTCCTGAGATGAGGAGGACATCCAGATGGGTCATGCTGCTTCAAGGAAGGCTGAAAATGAGAAACCAGGATTAATCAAAATAGGATTAATCAAAATCCAGAGGAGCCATTTTCTTTTTTTTTTTCTTTTTTTTGAGACAGTCTTGCTCCGTCACCCAGGCTAGAGTGCAGTGGCACGATCTCGGCTAACTGCAACCTCTGCCTCCTGGGTTCAAGTGATTCTCCTGCCTCAGCCTCTTGGGTAGCTAGGACTATAGGCTTGTACCACCATGCCTGGCGAATTTTTTGTATTTTTAGTAGAGATGGGGTTTCACCATGTTGGCCAGGCTGGTCTTGAATTCCTGACCACAAGCAATCCAACCACCTCGGCCTCCCAAAGTGCTGGGATTACAGGCATGAGCCACTGCGCCCAGCCCCCGAGAGGAGCCATTTTCAAAGCGAACTGAGCGATTGGGCTGGAGGGTGCGGGGGCTCCTGCTTTGTGGGTGTAGTCAGTGTCGGGATGCAGGGTGATGTGCTTATGAGGAAGCCACGCTGGCCAGCCTGCAGTGTGGGGGCAGAATTGCAGTGAGATACAAGAGACTGCCGCATAAATGAGGACATGCCGGGAGAGCCTGCGTGTGGTCAGAGCGGGGCTTCTGGATGGGGCATCGGCCTTGCCACTTAGCTCACTTGCATGTCTGACCCTGGGCCCACCACCTGCCTTCCTCCTCTCAGGGCCCTCCTGAGGCCTCCAGAGAGTCTTGTTCTGTGTACAGTGTCTGGCCCTGGCCTATACCCAGTGGCCATCATTTTCAGTGCCAGCCCTTCCTGCCGCACTTGTTCCCCTCCAAAGACCAATGTTAACCAAGTGACACCTAAGAGGAAAAACCCAGCCTTGACCTGTTTTCCTGCAAGTTCCTCTGAAACCTGTGCCAGGCTTTTATCTGGGAAATATCATTCTTGAGTGCCTTTACTTTTACAGTTTTTTTTTTCTTTCTTTTCTTGAATGGTTACTTTTGAAGCTATTTTTAGAAAGACTTTGTTTCAGAGAAGGCTGTTCAAGGTCCTGTGTTAGGAAATGCCTGGTCTCTCCCTGTGCCCACAGAAGTCATTCCTGGTCCAGGCCTGGCACGCACTTGCCAAGAGTCCTCGAGGCGTGTTTCCCCAAATCTGGGCCCCATCAGAATTCCCACAGGAAGGGGCCTTCAGTGTGGTCTGGAAAGAGCCAGGCTGGCTGCAGCATCTGGAAATCACTTGTCACTTCCCCAGTGGCCAGGCCCACCCGTGCCACGCTGTGTCTGTTGCAGCTGGGAGTCTAGGAGTGGCTCTTTAGGTCTGGAGTCAAGGCCACTGACCTGTTGGCTGCCCCTACAGCAAGAAGGCTCCCTAAGGAACCTAATTCCCAGGCCCTGGGGACTCCTGACCAGGCCCCACCTCATGAGATGGAAGGGAAAAGAACCTCTTGTGAAACAATATGGTAATGGAGGTGGTTTTTACTTAGCTATTGGCTTTTTCCATTCAGCCCATGTGTATTTAGTGCCTAAATATGGGTTCTTTGCCAAATGCCAGGGATTCTGTGTGGAGTCAAAAAGAGTCCTTATCCCTCAGGGGTAATGTGTGTTGTATCTACAGTAGTGCCCTCCAAAAAGGATTTGAAACACCTTACAACATTCATAGAGAACAATAGAATGTAACATTAGTGAGAAAATCGGGACACGAAGAAAGCAGAAGAAAATAAGATGAAGTAAGGGGAAGGTTTGTACATGTAATACATGACATAGCATTGGTATGGTTACCAGAATTTGGCCACAGATCTGACTTTGAGTTTCCTGGTAGTCAAAGCAAAGAGAGAAACAAGACCAATCTCTTGATTCTTGGTGTCCTGAAAATACCAGCAGATCAGTTCCTCGGAAGAACTCTTCCTGATAGATACCTGTGGTGTTCACAAGGAAGCCCAGCATAATGGATGGACAAGCAAGTTGTCTTAACAGGGAGAGCTGATGCTGCATGCCTATCCCACCAATTACCCTGGGTATTTGTGGTCTTAAGAGGTGAGGTCAGCAGCAGCACTTGGTGCCAGAGCTGCTGGCCGCCCCAGCACTGAGACAGGATGCTGAGTCACATCCTGCAGGGCTGCGGTATCCTGGCTTCGCGTGCCCTTCACAATAGGAGGCCTGCACGGGCAGGTCAGCCCCTGCTGTTCCAAACATGTGGTCTCCGAGCAGGAAAATGCTAAAATTAGATCTTACGTGGTCCAGAGCCGTGTATGTGAGAGGCCCTCAAAACCTGGACACACACAGACCAGGAAGACCTGGGAGAGCAGAGCTCTTCATCGTTCTCTTCTGCTCTGGGCACGAAACAGGGCCACTTCTGTTCTGGAAAACACGAAGAGGGCAAACAGTGCTGAGGCAGGGAAGGTCTTGCTTGGTGAGGGTAAAACTATGCAAGAGATGAAAGGGCAAAGTCATGAAATATGCCCATACCAGTGATCAGTAAAATCATCTGAAGCTTTTATTACCTACCGATAAAGAAAAATTACAGGTCGTGTTTTACCAAAATCGAATTAAGTGGAGATTTAAAAAATAACTTTAAAAAATTTGGCTGGGTATGGTGGCTCATGCCTATGATCCCAGCACTTTGGGAGACCGAGGTGGGAGGATCTCTTGAGCCTAGGAGTTCAGTACCAGCCCTGGCAGCATAGTGAGACCCTGTCTCTACAAAAAAATTAAAAAATTAGCTGGGGGTGGCAGCACACACCTGTAGTCCCAGCTACTTGGGTGGTTGAGGTGGAAGGATCGCTTGAGCCTGGGAGGTGGAGGCTGTGCTGCGTGAGCCGTGGTCGTCCCACTGCACTCCAGCCTGGGCGACAGAGTAAGACCCTGTCTCAAAGGAAAAAAAAAAAAATTGGTAACTCGAAAACTTGTAATGCTCCCAACACATACAAATGATTAATACTCAAGGTCATGGATACCCCAGATACTCTGACTTGGTCATTACACAGTTTATGCATGTAACAAATACTTACATGTTTTCCATAAATATGTAAAATACTACGTCGATAAAAAATTCTCGTTAATTTTGAGATAATTTCCAGCTTACATAAGAATTGCAAGTACAGTGAAAAGAACTTTCTTTTTTGAACCATTTGAAAGTAATTTGTCAACCTGCTACTCCATTACCCTTGGAATACAGACCAGGGCATTCTCCCACAGAACCGCAACACAGCCATCCACGCGGGACACTGACTCTGATGCATTCCCACCGTCTAGTCCTCTAACCCCATTCAAGAGTCACCATATGTCCCAGCGTTGTCCTTCATAACAAAAGATCCAATTCAGGACTGCCCATTGCATCTAGTTATCCTGTCTCTTGGCTCTCCTGCAGTCTGGAACCTTCCTCAGTCTTTCTTTGACTCTTGTGGCCTGGATTTTATTTTATTTTTTTATTTTTTGAGTTGGAAACTCACTCTGTCGCCCAAGCTGGAGTGCAGCGGTGATATCTCAGCTCGCTGCAACCTCCACCTCCCGGGTTCAAGCGATTCTTGTGCCTTAGCGCCCCAAGTAGCTGGGATTACGGGCATGCTCCACCACGCTCGGCTAATTTTTGTATTTTTAGTAGAGAATAGGGTGTTGCCATGTTGGCCAGGCTGGTCTCGAACCCCTGACCTCAAGTGATCCGCCCACCTCAGCCTCCCAAAATGCTGGGATTACAGGCATGAGCCACTGCGGTCGACCATGACCTGGACATGTTTGTGCCCAGTACTGTCAGTTTGCAGAGTGTCCCTCAGTGTGAGTGTGTCTGATGTTCTTGTGTGATTCCACCGGGCACGTGTATTTGGCTGGAACATCACCCAAGGGATGCTGCGTCCTCGTTGAATCCCATAAGGTGGCACTTGATTTCCTTTTGTCCCACTATGGTGACATTCACTTTGGTCACTAAGGTGGGTTTTACCAGGCTTTTCCACTGTACAGTTATTCTTTTCCCCTTCATCATTCAGAAGCATTCCTTGGAGAGATACTTTAAAATTATGTTAATATCCTGTCTGCCATCAATGTCCGTTTCAATTCTTTGTATTTTTCTGTTTTATTCAGTGGTTTATAATCTGCTCTTAAATTGTTGACATCCTTGCTCAAATTGTCCTTGTGGACAGTTAGGGCCAGTGGGATCTCATCCAGGCTGGCTTCTGTGTCCCTTTGACATGTCCACATCATTCTTTAAGTGCTTTCTTGCTTTCTGGCAACAGATGCTCCCTACCCACCTGTGGAATCAGTCCTTTATCCAAGGGGCTCTGGTTCCTTTTAGTGGAAAATGAAATTTAGGAGCCAAGCTAGGTCTGCTTATTGCTGTTGGGGTGTTGCTAACCACAGGCCTCTCAATGGGCAGAATTAGGGAACATTTGTATGTACGTGCATACACACACACGTGCATCTATATTTATTTCAATAGGTTGAAAACTATGAGTTCAGACTGGTACCTTCAATTCTGATGCAGCACCTTGGGGTTCATTCTAGTTTTGTCTCTCCATATTCATGACTCCCATTGTCCCTGAAATATTAATAAATATTAACATTATGCATATTATATAAACTTAGGTATTATTTATATTATATAGTATATATTTGTTAATATTGATTATATTAATATTAATATAATCGATTATATTAATATAGTTATAATCGATTATATTAATATAGTTATAATCGATTATATTAATATAGTTATAATCGATTATATTAATATAGTTATAATTGATTATATTAATATAGTTATAATTAATTATATTAATATAGTTATAATTAATTAATATAATATGTATATATGCTATATATCATAAATATATTAATTATAAATATTAATATTAACATTAATGTTTAATATTTCATTCCTTGCCTGTGAGCAGTCTCTGTCTCCCTTGCAGCCCCCTCCCTGCACAGATGCCCTTTGCACCCTGCTTGCCAACAGACACCTCAGCTTGGGATCCCACACCCCCTCCCCAACTCAGAAGCTTGCCCTGCCCTTCCCCGCCAAATGGTTTTTAGGTCTGAATTGTTGGGAGGAGAAGTGGACTTTTTTGAGACTGTTTTCCAGAGGTATCAGTTCAGCTGAAAGCCAGTGCCTAAGAGCAGAGGTTTCAGAGTTACACTCCTGCCTTCCCCTTCCTGCTTCCCGGCTCCTTGGTCTCATGAACTTGGGCAGGTGACTTAACCTCCCTGAGCCTCAGTGTTTGTTTGTTTTGTTTTCTGTTTTTTTGTTTTTTTAAGACGGAGTCTTACTCTGTTGCAGTGCTGTGGCACAATCTCGGCTCACTGCAACCTCCATCTCCTGGGTTCGAGTGATTCTTGTGCCTCCCAATAGCTGGGATTACAGGAGCACGACACCACGCTCGGCTAATTGAGCCTCAGTTCCCGTATGTATAAAACACTGAGAGATGGACACTGGGGAATAAATGAGTTAACATACCTGATGTGCTTAGCATAGCGCTCAACGAAGATGTTATTGGTGTTACATTTATTGATGTCCACTGTTTTCTGGGCACTGAGAGGGATCCTGAGACAGAGAAGTCATAGGCCTAGCTCTCCAGACACTCAAGGTGATGTGGGGAACTTAGCTGCTGTTGTGTTATTTGAAGCACTCAGTTGTCAGGAAGACCTGACCTGACCTCCAGGTGGCTTTAACTCGCACGTGGCATGATGCTGTGAGTCTTATTTGCCAGGTTCAACCTGTGTGTGGGGAGTGCCCAGTGTGCCCAGGGCACAGAGATGACCAGGGTGAGTTACTCCTGGAATACTGACTTCAGAGAAGAGCACAGCTTGGCCAGTGTATCTACCAGCACTTACTTTCAATCTACTGTATGTCAAGCACAGAGGGAGATTTAAAAAGCATGTGCATCCTGGCCCTCACATCCCATTGTGAAGTTAAAATATACTGGCAGGAAGATGGCTTCACCACTAGTTAGTAAATAAGTGGGTCAGGGAACACGATTTGGAAATGAGGGAACTTGGGTTCCTAGGTTCCTATCACTAAGGGTGGTCTTTCCTTCAGTATCCAAGGGGATTGGTTTCAGGACCCCCGCCTTTGCCGAGGATAACAAAATCCATGGATGCTTAAGCACCCGCAGAACCCACTAATTCAAAGAGTTCAGCATCCCTCAAATACTGTATTTTCTGTCTGTAGTTGGTTGAATCCACTGATGAGGAACCCGCGGATACAGAGGACCGACTGTATGTGACCTTGAGCAAGTGACTTAACCCTTAAGCCTCAGTGTCCTCACCTGCACAGTAAGAGGAGGTGCTAGAAGATGTTGAAAGGGAGGAGCTATAGCTCACAGCGAGGGCCACAAGAGAAAGCTTCCTGGAGAAGGCATAAACACTGGAAGACAGGCATGACGTCGGGAGGCAGATGGGAGGAAGGACACCATGAGCCGAGAACCACAGTAGGCTTTATGGGGACAGTGCTATAGCTGGGGATAGAACAGAGAATGCGAAGCATGGAGAACAGGGGGAATAGTGCGAGAGGTAATACAAGAATGGTTTTTTATTCTGAAATACTGTTTTCTAACTATATTCTAAGCCCCTAAGGTCAGGACATAGCAGATGAATGAAATTTAGGTTAACGACATACAATGGCTAATTGTGGCAACCCATAGAGAGTTAGCACAAGAAGTTTGGACTCTAATCAATAGATGATGTCACATGGCTAAAAGTTCTGGGGCTGGGAAAGAATGTCATGAGAGCAATGGTTAGCGGCTGTGCAGAGTGGGCGAGAGGCCAGGGAGGCGCTTGTCCTGATTCTTCTCACCAGGCCAAAAGCTTCCGGAGCTCTGCTGTCCTATACCACAGCTGATAGCCTCATGTAGCTAATTAAACTTAAATTTAAATTAACTAAAATGAAATAAAATGACAAACCCAGTTTCTTGGTCACACTTACTGCATCTTAAGTGTTCAGTCAACACATCTGGCCAGTGGCTCCCATACTAGACAGAGAGTGGGTAGAGAATACAACAGCCCTGGCCTTCAGGGACATTCAGAGAATGCAGCACAGAGCCGGGTGCACCGTGGGGCTGCTTGGATGTCGCCTGGCTCACGGGGGTGAGGAGGGCCAGAACTGGGTGGTGCCTGAGAGACCTGAAAGGAGGGGCCTCTGACAAAGTTAGGACTCGGTGACAAATGACTGTGGTATGGGGCTGCATACCATAGACAGGGCTGAGAACCTGGGACAGTCGGGATAATCTCTTCTCGGAATTTTTGAGCTGTCTCAGAAACATTTCCTTCATGTGCCTGTTATTTCTGGCGTGTTTGGCTGTCTTTGCTGCCATAGCATTTCCCGCACAGTGCAGCCTTTATACCTTCTGCCCTCGTGAAGGGGCTTAGATCCTGGTAGAGCAGATGATGCTTGGAGGAAGATGCATTAGCTCCAGCTTCCATGGGGCCTGAGGGCTCTTGGGGTCATCAGGGAACTATCTTAAAATTTGCTAAACCAAGCCAAGACACATCACTTGCTGTCTTATTTAGGGAGAAAAAAAAAAAAAAGCTTGCTTTTGCGAGCTCGCTGGTCAGTTCAGCTGCTTGCCGCTACCCGTTGGTTTGAAGGAGAGCTGTGTAGCTGGCTCAGAGAATGTCTCTTACTGTCTGAAATACTTTTGGACATTCCTTCTCTCTGAGAGAAGCCTACGCCTTCTAGCCAAACAATACATGTTCCAGCAGCAAAGATATTTGTAATGAGCCCTGCCAGCATTCCTTGTCTGTGACCCCTTTCCCTAAGTATAACGCTCTGCAGAGCTGGAATTTTTCTATGCTCAGCATTATGTGTTTAGGGGGGTACAATTTGGGAGCTCCGGTTGACAGGTGTGTCCCTAAAGTTACTTGTTTTCTTAGGCTCTGAAGAGTGACATTTGGAACGAGGCCCTGCCATGTTGCACTGCAAGGCCCACAGTGAAGAAGAACGAGACCTTGGCCCAACTCAGGGTCTTTGTGACTTTTAAACACGAGTTCCAAATGAGGGAAGAACCTGTGGGAGAACCATGGAAAGAATTTTCCATCCGACCTGCAGTCTTTAGCTAATCTCTCTCCAAATGGTGAATTTTCGATCTCCTTTACATCTTTATCAACTTCACTTTGCTAGGCCTGGGGTTCTGAATCCATCCAGAGCCTCACTGAGAGTGGTTTTGAGGTCAGTTGATTAGCTTTCCACGTTGCTGCTATTGCTGCAGGTCAGATGGTGCTGCTTTCTGACCTATGGATTCTTCAGGAAGAGCACCGAACTTTTTCAGCCCCATTCTACCTCTTATTAGCCAGATGACCACAGACAAGTCATTTATCTTCTCCCAGTCTTGGTGGTTTCATTTTCTTTTCTTTCTTTTCTTTTCTTTTGGGAGGCGGGGGTGGGTGGGACAGAGTCTCCCTCTGTCTCCCAGGCTGGAGTGCAGCGGTACAATCTTGGCTCACTGCAACCTCTGCCTCCCGGGCTCAAGTGATTCTCCCACTTCAGCCTCCCAAATACCCGGGACTGCAGGTGCACGCCACCACACCCAGCTAATTTTTGTATTTTTTGTAGAGGCAGGATTTTGCCATGTTGCCCAGGCTGGGGTTGTTTCATCAGGGGAATGGGATTGTAAAAATTAAGTGGAAAAATGTAGGGACAAACTCTCTATAACTAGAAAGCTATTATTTACATATTTAAAACAATATATGTTGATAGTATACCAGGCATTCAGGTGCTGAGAATTTGTGATGTTGACAGTGCGATGTCTCAACCACAAGCATGAGGTTTGTTTCTTAGGTTTGCACATTCTGAAACTTGAATTTGTGAGTTCACTCAGGGATGATCAAGTTCTAAGAAACCAATTTACGCTAACCAAACTTATAAGGAACTGATATATAAAGCACAATTTGTAAATTGAGGTTTATGAACCCACAGGGGGGCCTTTTATGACAGAGGCCAAATCCTCCTGGGTTCACAATAAGGTACATGTAGCATAATCATCTTACTCTCCTGCCCCTTATGCCTCTCTGTTTACTGATCCTTCAGGGCCTCGCAGGCTTCATTTCTTCCAGGGAGGCCTCCCTGAACCCCTGTGTGTACGTGCATCTGCACCTTCCACCTCCTTCCACCGTGGAACTTGCTGCCTTATATCGAAGTTACTGTCCTGTGCCTGCCTGGCCCTCCAGTGTCACTCCAGACCAGGTGTGGAGTGGTCTGTGGCATGGGTGGAAACCGGGTCTGTTTCACTTCTAAATTCTCAGGCCTTAGCACTGACCGGACACAATAGACACTCAGCAAATACTTGTTGATCGAAACCGAATTAACAGAGCCTCCTTTTTGGAATGCTCGTTGGCACCCATCTTTCTATGCTGACAGCATTACATTAGTTCCTTTTTCTCCTAGAATTACCATCAAGTTCGCTGGACAATTGACAGTCCCCTCAGTAATCACCATGCAGAGTGGGGTACCATTGAGGGTTAGTTCTATCCAGGGAAAAGTGATTCCGTTTGTCTCAGCCTGTCCCATCAATCTGGGACCCTTTACAGGGCCTCTTCTTCAGGCTCATATTCTCTACTTTTTTTTCGAGATACAGCATCAGAAATCCTAAATTTGTACTATTTAACTCCCTGTTTCCTTAGGCATAAATTAGTGTAATAATGCCTGTCTGGTCTTCCACACGGTTTTGTGAAGATCAGATGAGTTGACATTCACCAGAATGCTTTGTCCACAGCAGAGTTTGTCAAAGGTCTGATCTGAGGTTGGTCTCGGTGGCTCACAGCTGTCACCCCAGCACTTTGGGAGGCCAAGGCGGAACAATCGCTTGAGCTCAGGAGTTGGAGACCAGCCTGGGCAACATAGCGAGACCCCATGTCTGTTTCACACAGCACAGGTCTGATCTGTTTTTGCTTTCACTGTCATCATTTCGTATTGTCATGATGCAGCGTCTCCCTTAGAGGGCCAGAAGAACATTCAGGTCTCTGAAAGTGTGTAGTAGAAGACTAGCATCTGTTTTACTGCTTCCAAAGAGAGTATTATTTTGTTTTTGACCCTAGCATGACCTCCCTTTATTGCACCTAATCACATCACCCACCTTCTGAGAGCACCATGCCTTTTTGTTGGTGTTACCTTTTACCAGCAGAAAACATCGACGTGTACCTATGTGAGAGGTATCTTTATGAAGCCCATGGAGAAGACTGTTTTCTCTGTGTCTTCTGATGTTGTTTGTTTGTGTGTTTGTTTTTGAGACAGTCTCACTCTCATCCAGGCTGGAGTGCAGTGGGGACTCCAGGATCACAATCTCCACTCAGTGCAGCCTCGACCTCCAGGGTACAAGTGATTCTCGTGCCTCAGCTTCCCAAGAAGCTGGGACTACAAGTGTGCGTCACCACGCTCAGCTAATTTTTGTATTTTTAGTAAAGACTGGGTTTCACCATGTTTTCCAGGCTGGTCTTGAACTCCTGACCTCAAGTGATCCACCCACCTTGGCCTCCCAAAGTGCCAGGATTACAGGCGTGAGCCACCATGCCTGGCCATGATGTTATTTGATTCTGAGGTTTTTAAAACTTGGCTGTGCATCAGAAGCACCCCCTGGAACTTTCTGGAGACAAGATCTGTCTCCCAGGTTGGAGTGCAGTGGTGTGGTCACAGCTCACTGTAGCCTTGACCTCACCAGGCTCAAGTGATTCTCCCACCTCAGCCTCCTGAGCAGCTGGGACTACAGGCACACACCACCAAGCCTAGCTAATTTTATTTTTATTTTTTTGTAGAGATGGGATCTTGTTACGTTGCCCAGGTTAATCTTGAACTCCAGGGGTCAACTGATTCTCCCACTTTGACCTCCCAAAGTGCTGTGATTACAGGCATGAGCTACCATGCCCAGCTCCCTGGAACTTTTTAAAAAAGTAGATGCCCAGGACTCATCACAGACCTTCCGAATTAGACTCTGCTGAGGCTGGACCTGGGCATGAATGTGTTTTAGGAGTTTGATAGGTTGTTTCAATGTATGACCAGAGTTGGAATTCAGGGGTGTTTGGATATTCCATACTGTGATGTTTCTATACCTACTATTTTTGTTCTTCAAGAAATGCTGTTTCTATGCAGCAGGGCAGACACCCAGATCACCAGCACATATACCCATTCCTTAAAGAGGATGGCTGTCTTTGCCCTTATCAGAGCTTGGGCTGGCTTGGCTTACCCTGTGCTCCATGCTCTGCAAATGTTTGCCTGTTTGGATGAATGAACAGAACCCTGTAAGGAATTCTAGGGGTTAATTCTAGGGGTTAATCAGAGTATATATGGTAGAATGTAAATTGGAACCCAGAAATATGAATTCCCAGACCATTGTTTTTACTTTTGTTCCCCACCGCCCCTGCCCAAGACAGTGTCTCACTTTGTCGCCCAGGCTGGAGTACAGTGGTGCGATCTTGGCTCACTGCAACCTCCGCCTCCTGGGTTCAAGTGATTCTCTGCCTCAGCCTCCTGAGTAGCTGGGATTACAGGCATGCACCACCACACCTGGCTAATTTTTGTATTTTTAGTAGAGACAGGGTTTTGCCATGTTGACCATGCTAGTCTCGAACTCCTGACCTCAAATGATCCACCCATCTCAGCCTCCCAAAGTGCTGGGATTACAGGAATGAGTCATCACCCCCAGTTTTTACTTTTCTTAAACCTTAAAGCGCGGCAGTCACCATGGGCGTTGTCCATGCTATCCCTGGTGATTCTATTTTGGAATTGTTGACGGGCTTCCTTCGTTTGTCATATGGAGAAAATACCTTACCCTGCAGAACTGCCAGAGTTCAATGACGTGGCGTAGCTAAGTACCTCCTACAGCCTTGGCCACATGGGAGATCCTCAGTAAATAATAGTCCTGTTGATGAGAAACTTACCTTGAAAGCGACTTCTTGGTCAGCGTGGCTGTGTGGTTTACAGAACTCCTTAGCCTCTATGCAGTGCAGAAGGGCCAAAGGATGTGTCCTGTCCCCCAACTATGACGGCAGTGGTGGGTAGGATAAGGCTGTGGGTCCCCTGCCCTTCTGATTTCTACTTGGGCAGATGGAAGAACCCCGGCACAGTCTCGTCTTCCTGGAGTTCTGTTTGCTTGAATGGTTCCTTCTCTCTCTTTCCCACGCATGATGCATTCACACACTGGGAAGAAGGACGGAAGATGTGATCCACATTCTGACTTCTCAGTGCCTTAGTGGCTTTGCCATTAGGCACCTGGGCAGGCATGAGCGGATGTGACCGCAGCATAATGGCTCTGATTTTCATTCTGGATGAGTAGAACAGCTGCTTAACAGGGGTTAAGCAGGTGGGCGTGGGGCAGATAGATGTGAGTCCAGCCCCATCTTGTAGAGATATGTGCTCCTAGGCAAGCTGGGGTTTCCTCACCTGCAAAACCAGAATCATGGTAATGTGTGTTTCACTTAATCCGTAGGGAGGATCGCTTGGTCACTTGTGAGCCGAGGGAAGAGAAGCCCCTACTCAGTGCTGCTTCCTTCAGGAATTGTTCCAGAAGTCACCAGTTAAATGCTCCCTCCTCCCTCTTGTAAACCCTAGCCGAGCCCCTTTCTTAGGGTACTTATTCCATTCTCTCCTGCGTCATGGTTATTCACATCCTGAACTTATTTCTCTCACTGAAAGAAACGCTAAAAACACAGCTCTTGGCTGGCTTGTGCCTGGAGGGTTTGGGATCACACCTCCAACCTTTAGGACCTTTGCAGCCTGACCTGCCTTGGGCACCGTGCGTATCCCAGAGCTCCTCATAGGTGTGCATGTGGTCCCCTCTACCTGGCGTGTCCCCTCAGATAGCTGTTAGCATGACTGAAGAATTTTCAGGATGTAACCGTGCTTTGAGTACGCAGAATAACTAACTGCGGCAGCTGCCCACGTCACCGTCACCGTTGGGTAAATGGATGCTGATTTGAAAGAAAGAGTCATCCTTCAGAATGTTGATTTGAATCGGAAGGGGGTCTTGTTGCTTGGGGTTGGTTCCTTGGGGCCAGTTGTTTGCCCTCACAATGTCGAATGCACACCCCGGTGCTTGTTTCTCCGGCCTACAGAAAAGCCCGTAGGAGTGCAGTGATTAGAGGAACCTCAGCTGTTTTGCTGAATGGCCCTCTTTCATCAGGATGTGCTGGGACAAGGGCCTTTTTCAGCCAAAATATCAGAGGAAGACAAGAGTTCCACAAGAGCCATTTGCTTTTCGGGTAGGACTCTGAGGAGGAGTTGGCTCCCCAGCCCTCGTGGAAGCACTCGGCAGCCTCCTGGCTTTTCCTGATCTCCATAGGGAGCAGATGGCCAGAGCTCGGAGGGCAGTTGTAGGGAGCGTTAGAGATGTGAGCACTGCAGCCACGAACCTCTTTTATTTTACCGACTTCTGCATCTTCCTTCAGCCAACCCACTGCTTCTGCTGTCCAGAGGTTTCCAGCTCAAATTAGTACGTATGACCACCCTGATTACTGGTTTCCTGCCATGGCTTGGTTTCTGGATGACACTGGCTGTTTATATTTTGGGGGCCTGGGGTTTTTTGAGGAGCATTGATTGAGGTTTTTTGTCTGTCTTCAATGCTTTGGAGAAACTTTAATCTTATGAAGCTTCCCGAATGGCAGTAATCAGTGTCCGAGAACAGATCTGTGTGGTGGAGATAAAAACATTCCAGTTGGCGGGTAGAGAGGGCAGCGGCTTTTTTTTTTTTTATCCCTCATCAAGATTTTTCTTACAGCGGTGGAGGAAGACATTTCCGTTTTGTCTGTCTGCGTCTGACCTTTTGTAACTTTAGTCACTCCTTTTAGGACACTCAGATCTTTTGTGAGAAGAGTGACTTCTGGGTGGCTGGGATGGATGGCTTGTGGGTTTGGGCTTCCTGGCCCCAGACACCTGGTAAAGTGAGCGTGCCATCACCAATGTGGATTTCTTCATGGACTTCCCCAGTGGGACACTTTGAGGGTCTGATGAATCGGGAGCCTGTGCCTCTGGGCATCAGAAGCTGCAGTCGTCAGATACAGTATTCAGGTCAGCCACGCAGAGGGCGCATGAGGCTCTGGGCCCAGAGTGAGCTCAGAAGAGAAGCCAGGAAGCCGGGTCACAGAGACTTTCTGCATCTTGTTTTCATAAATCCTGTGACTGACCATGCTCTGCGGCCTCCCACCCCACCCCCCACCCGGAGAGTCATGTCGTGCGGTTTCCTCTGGCTGTATCTCCTGACTGTATTTGCAGGACGCAGGGTGATCTCACAGCTTCGGGATAATGCGCTGCTACTTGGGCTTCCCTGCAGCTTCCAGTCTTGCTTTTTACAGTAAATGCCTGTTACTTGATTGTCGTGGGGGAACAGAGGCAGAGTGTTCCAGGGCCCCAATCAATGCCATCCTGACTTCATGCGTAGAGCAGGAGTCCCTGATTCTTATCAGTGTAGGAACATGGAGGAGGAACAGCTGGCCTTGTAAGTGATCACAGAGTGAAACCAGCCTAGTCTGTTGCATTGTTCCTTTTTTTTTCCAAAGGAAATATAAGGGAAACCAAGGGGAATTTTTGCTCATGGTTTCCAAGGCAAAGGTCATCGTTAATGGTTGGCTGTTTCCAGCGTGCTTGGGTTTCTGGTCAGTATGAATTTTTTTTTTTTAATCTCATGAACAAAAGCAGTTGATGTTGTCTCGAAAAGATTTTCCCAGCTGCTTCGATGAACTGATGGTTGTTTTAGGTTTCATGAGTTTGGAACCTCTCGCATAGCTGTTTCAGATTTTGATGAGAATAAATAGTAAATGATCTGTGTCTAAGAACAGTTCTGAAAACATACTCAGCTGTGAGATTCTAAGGAAGGAGAGAGTGACAAGCTTTGCAGGTGGAAAGGGTTAGGTGATTCTGCAGCCTGTGAAATGAGATCGGCCAGATGGATGCTAAAGAGCTTTTTACTTCCTATGAGTGAGGGTGAGACAGCAAAGAAAGGCTGCTTCTCGTTTCTTTCGTTATTTATAATCCTGAGCTCCTCAACACTTGAACCTTGCAGCACAAATATATGCCTGTGAGAGGGTGGAAAGGATGACTCGGCAGTGCATCTGCAGTAGTGGACAAAATGCTGTTAGATGTCAAGTATTGGTGTCACAAGATATCGAAAACCAATTGCCTGGAATTCAGAGGACTGAACAAGAAGGCAAAACTAAGTCTTCTTACTTAATATTTGAGCAGTCACTATTTTTAGCATGAGCATTTAACCAGAAAAACTAACAGATTTTATTGTGGACTTTATATCATAGAACATAACAGTCTTCCTGATCTCAGGAGCTGCTGATTGGAAATGCTAGTTCCTGTGGCATTTTCTTGGCACCCAGAGTCATACTTTAGACTTTGCTGAGTTTTTTATTCCAGAATTCGAACGTTTAACTACTAACATTAGATGTCTGGGGCAAAGGTGATCTTGCTTTCTTGTATTACAGAAAACATCTTCGTCTTTCTGTCAGGAATTGATTTACTTAATTTCAAGGTTCTCTTTAATTAGAAGACTGCTTTTTCTTAGGGATTTTTCCTTCAAATCATGTATATGTTCATTGGTTGTTCAAGAGCGAAATTTTTATAGTTGCCTACAATTTGAACTGTGACCTCCTTTTATGAAATTATTAAGATTAGAATGTTCTTTTTAAATTATATAGTAGTGTTTTATATTATTTTGAGAATCAAACAAAAGTAGATGTTTTAAAGGTTAATATATGTTTAATATAGAACATTTGGAAAATACTAGAAGATAATCTATTCCTCCTCCTCCCCCACCTCCCGCAAAGCCGTTGTTAATAATTTTGGTGTATTTTATGCATAATTTTGAGAGTTGATGGTATTTTTGAACAATTGATAGTAATTCATAGCTGAAGCATTCTTTTCTTATGTCTTAATTTTTGCAAAAGCCAGACTTGATAGCCAAGTCATGAAAGTGAAATTAAAAATAAAAACTTTTGATGTACGACGGGGTCTCACAACGTTGCCCAGGCTGGTCTCGAACTCCTGGGCTCAAATGATCCTTCCACCCCAGCCTCCCAAATAAACATTTTTTAATTGTAATTTTTAAAGTTATAGGTAGTTATAAATGTTATTGCTAGCTAAAATAACAAAGGCCAAAGATTCATTCTGCTGAGAAATTCATTGGGCCAACTTGAGGTTTTCCTCAAGAATAGTGGACAGGACAACCTTGACTAAGTTAAATCACAAGTCAGTATCCACCCACTTTTTTCTTTCTTTCTTTCTTTCTTTTTTTTTTTTTGAGACACAGTCTTGCTCTGTCGCCCAGGCTGGAGTGCAGTGGTGCGTGGTGCGATCTTGGCTCACTCCAACCTCCGTCCCTGGGGCTCAAGTAAGCGATTCTTGTGCCTCAGCCTTCTGAGTAGCTGGGATTACAGGCATGTGCCACCACGCCTGGCTAATTTTTGCATTTTTAGTAGAGACAGGGTTTCACCATGTTGGCCAGACTGGTCTCGAACTCCTGACCTCAAGTGATCCACTGCCTTGGCCTCCCAAAATGCTGGGATTACAGGCTTGAGCCACCCGGCCCCTCCCCACTTTTCTTAAAATGCAAACAACTAGTGAAAGTGTAATTTCATCTTGTATTCCATCAAGGGAAGTCACCAAGAAACAATGGAGTTGTTAAAAGCCAGAGAGTTAGAAGCAGAGATCAACAGCAAGAGCATGAGAATTCACAAAGTAGACTGCCCTCTCCTAATCAGGGAGTTGTTCTCTTTTCTTAGAAAATGTTATGGCTGGGCGTGGTCACGCCTGTAATCACAGCACTCCAGGAGGCCTAAGCAGGCAGATTGCTGGAGGTCAGGAGTTTGAGACCAGCCTGGCCAACATGGTAAAACCATGTCTCTACTAATAATACAATAATTAGCTGGCCATGGTGGCACATGCCTGTAATCTCAGCTTCTGGGGAGGCTGAGACATGAGAATCGCTTGA